>NC_000010.11:53021883-53173398 GCF_000001405.40 Homo sapiens | reverse complement strand
AGGACCTATGTTTATTACAGGAACATTTAAAATAAGAAGACAAAGCTGGGGAAAAAAACTCACCAGTGCATGAATGGACCTATAAAATTCAGGGGAAAAAGCTATTTTCAACCTCTTAGCTAAATGATCCTGTAATAAACTCAAGGTGATTATAATACTTATCTGTTTCAATTCATTGTTCCTCAGAATATAATTTTAAAGTTTAAAACTTTTATTCTGACTTATAAAAATACTATCTTGAACTTTTATGATGGTAGATTATGGCTTCACTTATTGTATCTTGCTGCTTATACATTGTATGTTTTCAACTTTTTATATTCCCAGGATCCCAAAGTAAAAAACACAATCAAATTTCAGGGAAGTAATCACGTTCTTTTGCTGCTGTGATTTCAGAATGTTCCCAGGAGCACAGTCATTCTAACTGACTCTCTCACATGCATGAGGATATCTCAGACTTTGTTATATTTTTATTAATCATAAACCATGGTATCATTTTTAGGCTTCTTGAAAATCCAATTTGTAATTTTTACCTTATTAAGCCTCTCATAACTGCAATTAGAACAATAACTCCTATTAGCTCATGCTGCTTTTCTTGCTATCAGTAATCAAAATAAACCAAAAACATTTATAGAATGCTGTCATTATTATTGTCTTTAAAAAAAACAATGTATTTCTACCTTTATCAAAAGCTTGAGATGAAAATTTCCCCTTATAAATGTGTAATAAATGAATATGGTTCTATGAGAAATGTGAGAAGATGCAGTTCCAATAGTGCCTGACAATAATGGTTATTTTACATATATAATACGTTGTATGATTCCAAACACTTTACATACTTAATATACTTACTGCTTTTAAAAACTCTATGATATATATGTAATTTTGTGTTATCAATTTTTCCAAATGAGCCACTGCAAGCACAGAAAGGTTGCCCAAAGTCACATAGCTAATAAGAAGCAGAACCAGGATTCACACAGAGACAGTCTGTTACTAAAGTCTGTGCTCTCAATGTCTCAATGGCTACCTTACATCGCCTCTTCTTTTTAAAATAGTCTTGATATATCACAGTTGTACACATTTTGGGAGTACAGGTAATATTTTGATACATGTATAAAATGTGTACTGAGCAAATCAGGGTAATTGGCATATCCATCACCTCAAATATTTATGCACCACCTCTTCTGATGTGATCTACATTCAGACAATTCACCTAACGTGACGTGAATGATCATATTTCCTTTCTATTAAGAAGAAAAATGTTATCAATGATAAAGAAAAGCAAAATTTAGTAAGATCTTTAGGGGAAAAAAAGAAGGAAGAAGAGAAAAGTAAAATGAGATCAAAGAAGAGAGGAAGAGATAGAATGGCTAGCACGTTTACTTTGACATCCATTGGAAAATATATTTTAAAAATATTAAGATGTAGAAAAATGTACCAACAAAAACATATACCATATTTTTGTATACCAAATTCTTTAGTGGAGAAATGTACAAAAAATCATTTACCTTTCTGATGTTGGGATTAAACTGTTATTTATATTAACCAAAAAATTAAAGAACAACATTTTATAGTACTTATTGAAGAGAACATATTTAATCACAGCGAAGGTGAAGGACAAATTAAAGAAGAGAAAAAAAAAAAACCTCAAATCATCACAAGTCTTGATTTCATTAGAGGATTACTGTAATACTACTGGCCAACAGGTGTGTGATACAAATATGACACACCAGTTTTCAGAATCACATAGAATAATAAATGTAGAAATATCAGGAGTTATAACAAATTGAAAACTGTCTATAAAACAACAGTAACAGCCAAACAGCTAGATATAGTCTGAACAGGAATAAATAAATAATACTAAGCTTCTGTATGAACTATCCCTAGTGTTTCAATTGAGTTTGGAATATAATTAAGCTAGTATTTTGTTTTAAACTCTAAACGGCCTCTCAAATACTACACCAGAGAAAAATGTATTTGCTAATCATGCCTAATGTCTGATAAGAAGCCTCCTTTTAGAGCTTGTTCTTTGTTTGGATAATTAGCATTCGGAGAATATATACAGGTCATTGTTTTTCATTCTCCTGGCACCTCTATCCACCTTGTCTTAAGGGCACCTCCAAAGCTACTTCCACCTGCCACTTCAAAATTTCCAAGCACAGACATTTTTTCTGGGGCATTACCTCTCACTCATCTCTTATTTCACACCATTTTGATAGTGCTCAATGTAAGTCTAGAGCTGACTGAAGCTATTTCCCCATCTCATATAATATCACAGCGGGAAAGGTTTTCTGCAATAAAAAGGTGGAAATGAGGCCTAGACAGAAAAAAACATTTTTTTATGTCCCTGTTTTCTAATTACATGATTCATTAAATTCTAGTTTTTCCTAAACTAGTCTCAGTTTTTGTCGCTTTTAAATAAAGGGATAGGAAAAGAAAGGAGGAGAAGATATTTTAATTCCAATGACAGATTATTGTAAGGCCCCTGGACAAAATAATATTTTATTGACCTTTCATCATTACTGTTTGCCTACATAATCTAACATTTAGGAAATGTGTTATGTCCAAACTAAAAATGGCAGGAATTTAATCATAGCAAAACAAAAGGTAGCATTAATTCCTACTCTCCCTTGACTGCACGTTCTGAAAAATTTCAGGTTTCCACAAGTTCTGGGCCACCTCCAATCGCATCTCTGATGAGATCCCACTACCACTTCAAACACCAGATAATGCAGCTGAACTGAGTGTTGGCTTGTGCATCAGGCTATTTGGTTGCCTTATAACCCATAGAGCACGTTTTAGATTCTATTACAGCTGGAGTATCTTCAAATAAAGTATCCAGGCTTCATCACGGTATATGGCAAGCATAATCTGAAGAATGTGTTAAAATTATGCATCCCTCATATTTTCCCCAGACTTTCTGAGACATAAAATTTTGGGAGTTTAGATTAAATAGTTTTGTGATGAAGCTTCTTATGAGACTGCAATAGATATTCACTTCTGATTAAGAATATTTGCCACATTTTCTTGCTACATGTTTCTCAGTACAGCAAAAAAAAAAAAAAAAAAAAAAAAAAAAAAGGTTAGCTCTACTCTTAAACTAGCAAGAATCTAAGAAGAAACTAGATAACCTGGAGTTTGGCACAATAGTGACACTCAATAAATATGTATTTGTCTTAGTCCATTTTTTGGTGCTGTAACAGAATACTACAGACTGGGTAATTTAAAATAAACAGAAATTTATTGACTCTTGACTTTGGAGGTTGGGAAGTCCAAGATTAAACCTTTGGAACCTGATGAGAGCCTTTTTATTGGGTCCTAACTTAAAGAGAGGCATCAGAAGGGCAAGAGGAGGGAGGGGGAGCCAAATATATCCTTTTATGAGGAAGCTATTCCTTTAGTAAAGTCATGAAATCATTTATGAGGGTGCTGCCTCCATGGCCCAAACACTTCCCATTAGGCCTCATCTTCCAACACCTCTGCACTGGGGATCAAGTTTCCAACACATGAACTTTAGGGGACACATTTAAACCATAGTGTTATACCTCTGGCCTCCAAAATTTATGTACTTCTCACATGCAAAATATATTAACTCTATCCCAATGGCCCCAAAGTCTTGAGTTTTTCCAGCAGCAACTCAAAGGTCCAATGTCCAGAATCTCATTATGTCAGATATGGGTTCAACTCAAGGCATAATTTATCCGGAGGCAAATTCACTTCAGCCATCGAGTCTGTGAAATCAAACAAATCCAAAATGCAATAGTGGGGCAGGCATAGGCTATACATTTACATTCCCAAAGGGAAAAACAGATATAAAGAAAAGAGTAACACCCTGTTTCCAGGGTGGGGTGCAGTGGTATGATCTTGGCTCACTGCAACCTCTGCCTCCTGGGTTCAAGCAATGCTCCTGCCTCAGCCTCCCGAGTAGCTGGGACTACAGGCATGTACCACCATGCCCATCTAATTTTTGTATTTTTAGTAGAGATGGGGTTTCACCATGTTGGCCAGGCTGATCTTCAACTCCTGACCTCAAGTGATCCACCCACCTCAGCCTCACAAAGTGCTGGAATTACAGGCATGAGCCACTGCTTCTGGTCCTGGCTCCTTTCTAAAGGTACTAATCTCTTTAGCAAACAGTGAGTTGGCCAAACCTTTGATGTGCTCTCCTAAAGATGCTTTTTCACTCTCTACATGGCCATGATGTAAATTTTCCAAGTCTTTTCACTCTACATTTGTTTTGATCATAAATTTTGTCTTTAAATCATTTCTCTCTCCTCTCACATCTTTACCCTATGCAATTAAAAGTAGCCATGTAGCTCCTTCAACATTTTGCTCATTAGAGATTTCTTCCACCTGATATCCTAGTTCTTTTGAGCCCTTACTAGAATTGCCCTTCATGCTTTATTCATGGCAATACAGGCTTTCTCTGGCACTGTTTTTTCAAACTCTTCTGGCCTTTCCTTATTACCTCGTTCCAAAGACACCTATTTTCAGGTATTTGTTATAGCAACATTCCACTCTCTGGTACCATTTTTTATCTTAGTCCCTTTTATGCTGCTATGACAGAATACCACACAGTAAGTAATTTAAAAAGAACAAAAATTTATTGGCTAACAATTACAAACACTGGAAAATTCAAGATCAAGTTGCTGGCATCTGGCAAGGGCCTTCTTGCTGTGTTACAACATGGCAGAAGGCATAACATTGGTATGATAAAGGGAGAGGAGGATGCCAAACTTATCCTTTTCTAACCCACTGTCATAATGCATTCACTTCCATAAGAAGGGTGTTAATCTGTATTGGGGGGTTGCCCCCATGATCCAAAGACATCTCATTAAGTCCCACTTCCCAACACTTCCACATTGAGGATCTGAACTTTTGAGAATACATTCAAACTATAGCAGTGTTATATGAATAAATGAATGAATTAGCTATATGTTATAAATCACCACTAAGGTGAATAAACTGCTTAATATTTTAGCAACAAGAAAGCAACAAAATCCTGCTACTGTTAAGTGTTTCTATAAAATGTAACACTGGCCCTAGAATAGTGTAGCATCTTTTTAATCTTTTTGCATCAAAATAAACTACTAGACCTAAGCTATTTTTTAGTTTAACAAGTATTTCCTATTCACCTATTGGGATGATGCATGGTGGAAGAGTTGGCAGAATTCAGGATGAACCAAGGGGCCTAAAAATGGCTAAAATAAAGACACAGTTCCTCCAGAGCTTATAATCATACATTTATCCTCAGTTACTTTTATCCAAAGTGGGCAGCTCTGGCCAGGCCTGGATGTGAATCATATGACCTAGGATGGACTGCACAGTAATTATTAACTACATCTTAAGAGAATGAATGTTAAACAATTGCCAAGGGAGAATGTTATGTTCAATTAAATTCAGAGAACTATGCACAACTTATATCTCAGGGAAAGTGTATCTGCAGTAGTCTACTCACAAATCTGAGAAATAACTACTATTTCGTTTCCCTTCCAGAATGGAATTTACCATGGTAAAATTTTAATCATGTAATTTGTAAGAAAATGATTCACATCTAAGACTGCAACTTCCATCTCATGTAATTTTTTAATTCAACAAAGACACAGAATAGTAAGCAACTATTGTGTTTGCTTGTCAAGATACATAATCCATTCTTCCTTCTTATTTTTATTTGGGGAAGTAAACCTTCTCCTCTCTCAATGCCAGCAGCGCCAAAAGTTAGGCTAGTACCAATGATTACAACATATTCATTGTTTTATATATATAAACTGCAGCTGCTTGTGATGTTTGTCAGCACACTAAAGTAGTCTATATACAGAAGAAAGCAGAGGTGAGAGACAGAGGAGAAAGGGAGAAAGGGACAGAGAAAGATACTATTTGAGGTTTGGTTTGATTTTTATTTGTGCTTAGTATAGGTTCCTGCCTTTAAATATCTTAGTTATGTGAGCAATATTAAATTTCTCACTTGGTGGAAAGAATACTTGAACTTCTGTTACTTGCAATAAATAGCACAAAGGTTTGGGGACTTGGCTGGATCTCAAAAGTAGTTCAGGATGTCAGTTACTGCCTCTTGATTCCTCAAATTCTTTTACATAATAATAAGCATTAAATTTGATAACTCTGGGAGGATAATAACGTGAATTATTTCAATAATGCCATCAAAGTAGGGTATCCTCCAAATGAGTACACTTTTAAAAGGGAAAAGTAACCTTAATAAAAATTGCTTCGGAACAATAGGCACAAACCAAAACTATCCAAGGGAAAGTAAAATGTATGGTCAATCACTTTGGCACTTAGGCCTTTTGTTTTTCACTCAGCATATGGAGATAAAACTTTTTCTATTATGTGATTGTTATTAAGATCCAATGATATGCTGACTATGAACAAAGTTGAAAACCAAAGTGTCCCATGTTACTTTTTGTTTTGCTGGGATCCGATTTTAATAAAAAGCAAGAAACAGAAACAAAAATAGAGAATACATCATGAAAAGTGGCAGAGAGAGACTGTAAACACTGAGAATGAACTTTTATTTTCTTCAAGGTATCAGTAGTCTGTTTTGAAGACAATGAAAGTGTGTTGCAGGAGAGTATTGGCACAGCTTCTGAATCTTTGTAATAATGACATTTTATAATCATTTCCCTCTGGGAAATTGATCATCAGACAGTAGGCATCCTGCCCACTTTACTACCCAAAGTAAACTCTGGACCATCAATGATTCATATAAAATTATGTCTTCTACCTATGGAAATATAAGAAAAGCTTGCTTTTTAATTAGTTTTTATTTTCTTATCTAAAGACAGACTGGTGTGGATGGGGCAGGAAGGGGGTCAGAGAATTTGGAACCGAGTCACTGTTCTGGCACTAATTACCTTTGTGAAACAACTTTGTAATCCTTGGTTTCTCAAGTGTGGTTTCCTACAATGAAAGGGTCAGGAAACCGCAGTAGAGGCATAAGAACAGATATTCTGTTGTCAAACCAAACGTATTTCAACATTTGGCTCCATCAGTTACCTGGGAGCATCATTTATAATCTCTAAACCTGTTTCCTCATCTGTGAAATGAGGATAGCAATAAAAGTTAACTTCTAAATTTAAGTATTCAATGAGATATTACTTATAATGCATATGATACGTACATAATAACTTTGTTTTTAAGCTCTTCAGGCCCTTTCCACCCATCACATTGTATTGTTCAATTTTATTGCAACATAAGTCAGTCTGAAGCTAAAGCAAATGATCATTGGGTAGTTTTGATGTATTCTTCATGTGACTATCAACCTAACAGTTACCAACTCTAGCTTCCTGACCTAAGAGAGGTGACTTATTTCTTGTTTGCTACCTTGAAGACATGTTTTGCTGCTAATTTTTGATGTGCAGATTCGTGACTCAGCATACCTACATAGCTTTGGAATAGATCTAGTTAAATATCTAAACTTAAAACAGATATCCAGACAGAAACCACCTGTTCCATATTTTCTCTATCTCTTAATTCTATTCAAATTGAAATTTTCAGTAGAAATGGATTCAGTTGCGAAATTCACTCATTTACTATTTCCAAGAAAATTAATTAATTCAGTTTATGCTTATACAATATTAACAACTTTTAACTGAAAACAATCCTCAATTTTTTAATGAAGTTGTTGCTTTTCTAGAAATAAAGGGATTTTATGTTAAATCAGACTCATCAGCAGTTTCTTAAAACTGTCATTTTAGTATGGACATATGATTAGTGATTATCGCATCTCCATTCTAAATTTTTAAAATTACATGAAATCCAGTGCAAATATAATGACTCAAAATCATTAGACATGTGTAAAATTAGCGTAATGCAGGCTATTTGGATACTTTGTTTCTGTATTCCTCACCTATACAGCTTTATCGATTCAACATTGATTCAGTAGCTATTATGTCACTCAGAGCTGTGAGTGTATGATTTATCCCTAGTATATAGGACTTATTTTAAAGGGAGAAAGAAGAAAAAACAAACCAGTAAGAATTATGAGATTTTTTTCCTTATTCGTCTAAGCTTGCTGTACACAGCACACTCGACAATTTGTAATTCATTTTTTTATTGAAGAATTTTTATAGCATTTAAAATCGGAGGGACAAACACTAAATTATGATTTAAAAATAAAATAAAAATTTAAAACAACGTGCCTCACAGTCTAGAAGAAAGGTTATTTAAATGGACTCTACCTAAAATTATTTTTTAAAATTCATATTAAAAACAAAAAATTCTGAAACTTTGCAAAATAAGTCATACCAAAGAAGACCCTCAAACACTCAGTTTGGTTCCTTTGATGCTTTAAGGCCCTTTTAAAATTTATTCTTATAAATATATACGTTTGTAATGTAGTATATAGATTGTGGAAAACAATTTTCACCTATATCCATTAGCTTATGAATTATTTGACACCTAACCCAAAACTCATATAGACCTAAGAAAAATAGAAATACTGTCACCAGCTTAGAAAACCAAAAGCATCAAAATAATAAAGAAAAACTATCTGAGAAGACACCATAAAGAGTGGGGCTACTGTCACAAAGAACAGATGCTGATAAAAAGCTTAATCAAAAGCTGACAAAGGCATCACAATAACAGTGTAAATATGATTATATGCATGCCATGGCTGTGCAAAGATTTAAAAGTTGAGAGAATTGGCTTTGGAATTATTGAAGGTAGCCTAGCATGAGGAAGACCACCAACTTAGGAATTATGAGACTAGAATTTCATGTCTAAGGTTAGGCCTAAATTGGAGTTTAAGCTAAGCTACTCATTTAATGTAGCTTGGCCCAGAATCCACACCCATCATACAGTGAGTTGCACTTGGCATCAGACAAGCAAGTTGCATCTGTCCTGAGCGAAAAGGAGAAGCCTCAGCGGTAGATAAAGGTTGGTATGGGAAAGGATCCACTGCTTTGATCAGATTTTAAGGAGTCTATGATTCCTAAATGCTTAAGAATGACTTGATTAATTTTTTTCATTCCTGATATTAGAAATATTAATCCTATGTGAAAAGTTCATAATAACTAAACAATTTTCAATCTTTTAGCCATACTATGCAGTAAACTCTTTATGATAAATAAACTGCGCCATAAAGAAAAAGCAAGAATGTCTGAAAGTCATTGAAAACCTATGTGAGTAATGTAAAGGCAATGTGCCATTTCAGAATCAATTGCTTTGTGCTGTTCTATGAAATAGTCTAGTTCAGTAAATTTGATGTTTTCATAATTAACTGAAAACAGAAACAGAAAACTAATGTTTGGTAAATGTTATGATTTTATTATTCATTGCAGCCATTGAATTTTATTATTCACTGCAGCCATTGATCTTATTAGTTTAAAATACATAAATAATAGGCATCCCATGATAGTCCCAAAAGATGTTTAGTGGAGTTTCAGTTTGCAGTTACATCTCATCAGGAGGCTGACCTAGATTCCTAAAGGTCTTAGAGGGTTTAAACAAATCTGTGCTCACCAGAATTGCGGGAGTCTCTGTGGCACTGTCATCATTTCATTCGTTCTCATGGGACTCTTTGAACCTTGGTTTTCTTTAGGAGACATTTGACTAATTGGATGAGGCTCTAAATTCATTGGTGCTTATCCAAAACATTACTCAATCCTGCAAAATTATTTCTAAGCAACCACCCACTAGGAAACAAAAATCTGTCATTTTTCTAATTTGTATATAGAATTGATATTGCATCATTTTCAGCTAGAGCTTTCAGATAGCACCTGTTACTCTCATAACTTCAAAATGTACTCGCTTTTTTCGTATTACTTACAGGACTACATAAATTATAGAACCCCTTGCTGCCTGAGGTGACAAGCAAAGGAAAGGATTTTATCACTATTACTATTTCACCCTTTGCTTTTCATATATCCTTGACCACTAAAAGGTGCTATTCTTTTACAGAAGATAGCATGAAATATATATTCCTTCAACTGGATGAAATTTGCCTTTTGTGAAAAGTCATCTATATGAGATGCATTTCATGAGATATTAGAGTGTAATTTTTAGTTACTGTTTATTGCCCTATTATTTTTCAACTACATTTTAACAGGTACATTAATTATTGCTTGATTGATATTTTAGTATATCTGTCTTACACACAGTAAAGAAACTTGCTTTTTCCTTTGAACTTTTTTTCATGTCACCCATATAATTACACACATTATTCCCTGATCACCATATGTGTTCTGCTCACTTTGAAGGAAATCTTATAAGTGCCATAGCCACAGTTTGGATTTGGAGACACCGCTCCCCTTTCCCTCAGCTGCTCTACTTAAGAGCAGAGGTGGTTTAGGTACAGTCTTTCCAGGCCTTTATCATTTATCAGTTACTCACATGTCTTACATTGTGCCAAGACCAATTATGAAACATGTTCTCCAGCCAAAAACCCTGGTGTGCAGAAATAATCTCCGACTATGAATTGCTGCATTAGCGCTTTAAGAACTGTAGAGGTGACTTATTTCATTTCAACAGTAAAAGCATTTTTAATACAGGCTGTGTTCTCCCAGAGTATTGAGAAAAGTACTGGAAGAGAAAAAGTCAAGCAAGGGGGAAATAAAGCATGAAAATACTGCTTTAGGAAGTTATGATCCCAGTACAGTTTTTACTAAAATGCTTTCCTTCACATGACAATACTCTTTTATTGGAAGCAAAGATGTAGGCTCCTCACTGGTTAAAAGCTGACCTTGTTAATATGTCATTCAAGGTCCTCCAGGAAATGTCTTGACCAAATCCCAAGGCTTTATTGTCTTTTGAAATTTCATGTCATAAATCTTGATGTGCACTCTCTGCTGATGGGTGACCAACCATATGTCTTGGTTTAGTGGAAGAATGAACACTAATTCTATGCAGCTCCTCCAACAATGCATTTTGAACCTTTCACATATTCTTTTATCTTTTCCTAAAATCTTGAAAATCCCCATTCTGCCTAGTCTGCATGTAAACACAACCACCTTTCAAGATTCAGCACAAATATCACCTCCTTGAAGAAGATATTTTTACCTCATTAGAACTCACCATCATGAGGACAGCAGCAGGCCAAGACAGACCTGCTGGCCTGACCCAGACACTTCCCACCAGGCCTCACCTCCAACATTGGAATTACAATTCAACATGGGCTTTGTCAGGAACATATATTCAAACTATGTCAGCGGAAAAGTTCAATATTCATTATATAAGTTTTCACTTTGCCCTGTCTTCCACGTGGTCTTTAATGAGACTTTAAGACAACCCTCTTTTATCCAACACTTATAGAGATCCTGGATGTTACCAATTCCAGGGCCTTTTGGGGACGGTACAATTAACTCAGGATTCAGCTTTCTTAGACCTGTGAAGTCAGTCAATCCCTACTTCTGCTTTGCAGTTCCAAGATGTCACTGACCTTGTCCCATCTCCAGCTATGTCCTTGTCAATATATATCATATAAAAAGCTCTTTTCTCTCACTTTAGTGAGTTATCAGGACGAAAGTGTTCCTTTGATACCTCACCTTTATCAAGAAATCTTACTGTAAAATCCACAATAAGCCCATAACGTTTGCAAATAAGTTTGGGGACCTAAATCCATGACATTATAGCAATGTGCCTGAGAAAGGCAGCACGGCTACAACCATGCATTTCCCAGTGCTCCAAAAAAAAAAAAAAAGAAAAGAAAAGAAGTGATAACCTCTAACATGTGGATGTCAGTCTTCAACTGAAACTTTTAAATATGTATTTATTTGAATAGTTTCTTAGAAGGCTTAATAAATACAGATATTTAGGGTTCTTTCTTCCAGCAAGAGTAAGCATATTAGATTGGGAAAAGCTTGAGTTACAGGAAGCTTGTCAAATCCTGTACCCTACAGTATTACTCTCTTGAAAATTGAAATACCAGCTCTTAGTTCCACTTTTATTTCTTATAAAATGGAAGAGCATATATTCATAAACCTGAAATACAAAGTGCTATACAATGTATAAAAGGCTGACAGTGCATTTAAATGGGTTTTGAATAGTTTTCATTTAGTGCAAACAGAAACTTCTGTGAGGTACATTTGTCAGATGTTTTGGTCAATATCATTGCTTTGAAGTTATGGTTTATCTTCTGAAATATTATGCTGATAGAACTTGTAACCACAAGAAAGCAAACATAAAACCAGATTTCAGGTATGTGAACTTAAAACTCTAGTCATTTCAGAAAAATAGTAATATCAATGAAAAATAACTACAATTTTTTTTGTGCACCAGTCATGTAAGATACTTGTTTAAACTTTTTCATTTTCACTTGATTGCCCTGTGTTGGTACAAGCAGCATAGCTAGCTTGTAGACAAAATCTAGACAAAACTCTAGACAAAAATATGCTGATATTTCAAATTACATTTCTTTTCCTTCTTTACTATGTGTCATCATCACTAGTAACATTCTGAATACAGAAAGTAAATTACTGAATATAATTTTTAACTATGATTTTGTGGTGAGATCTATACAGTATATTTATGAAATACTAAAAATAATTAAAAGGTAACTATATTATATATTCCCTTGCAATTGCAAAAGTTGGTTTTAATTGCAAAGTTGGAAATCTCACAGTAAAATACTTGTCATTTGCATTGATGATATCTAATATTAGTGAAGATAAAACGGCAATACAAAGGTTCTATGTGTTACCATAGGAATTTATAAATAACATTTTCCATGGGATTCCTTTTTCTTGCATGTCAATCACATAGTGCTTTGTAATTTATCAACTTATCTAAGCTGGAATCACAGTCCCAAAGAATTTTCTTTCCTTTATGTTCTGAGTTGACTAAAAATACAATTGTTGAGATTTAGAGAGATTTAGAAAGATCAAACAAATTTTACTATCAGTATGTCATCATGATCAGTGACAGCAATTGTCAGATGCAGACCATGATGAATTTCATCTTCTTCTCACTGTCCCATGGGCCACATCACTCTTTTTTTTCCCAACTGTCAGCCTTGATAGAAAAAGTGACCCCAGGCCCACCAACAAATGCAGAGGCAACAGTCTTCCATGGACTTCACCACTTCTCCTTTATGTTTCCACTATGGGAATTCAACGTTCCTGGCTTTGGGAACAAAAGTTAGTTGACTTTTGTCTGATCTTCAAATTCTATCTTCTGACACACTTGCTTTTCCCACAAGCGTAGGCTTTATTCTTTCAATAACTTAATTTTTCCATTGTACTTATGTCTTAGGTTGTTCGGGCTGCTATAAAAATACCTTAGGCTTGGCAATTTATAAACAGTAGAAATTTATTCCCATGATTCCGGAGCCTGGGAAGCCAAAGATCAAGGTGCCAACAGATTCAGTGTCTGGTGAAAGCTCTTGGTTCACAGAAGATGACTTCTTGCTGTGTCCTCACATGGTAGAAGGGTCAAGCAACCTCCTGTGGGCCTCTTTCATAAGGACACTAGTCTCATTCATGAGGGCTCTGCCCTCACGACCTAATCACCTCCTAAAAGCCCCACCTTTAATATTACTGCACACGGATTAGATTTCAACAAATAAATTTTGTGTGGCCACAAACCTTCAGACCATAGCAACTCATAATAATTATATTTCCGTAATGGAACCCTAACAAATAGATTTTTTTTAAAAACAGTAAAAACTGTGTTTTATTCTAGGTGGGAAATGTAATACATATTAACAAGTTGCATCTGTAAATATTACAGAAAAAATGTTTTGGTAAAGTTTGTAATTTATAGTGAGTGTAAGGCTCTTTAAAATTTTGAAATAGCACACATGCTGACCCTATTTTTTTAATTGTCGATTAGAAAATTTTATGTTGATTTGTCCTTTATTTGCTTCTTGCGGTTTTGCTACTAAATGATCATCTTTGTTATTAGTTTTTAATTTGTTATGCTATGGCTAATGTACACAGCCAGACATAAATATTCCCTTAAAAATTGTTCTATATTTACTTCATATTACTAAGACAATTTTGGATGAACAAGATGCCAGCTTGTTGAAATTGTAGAATTCAAAAATAAATTACATGCGTGCAAGATATTATGTTGCTAAAAGATCTTCTATAACCTTTGCTAGTTAGCTTGCCATACGAGCAGTCATCAACTGTTTCCTTGACATTATCCCTAATTAATATGACAATTATGTGGTTTGCCTCTATTTTTCCCTTCTCTTGCACCTAATTTCTTTCAGATTCTGATATAACTATGACTTTTTTTGAACTCTTGACCTCCACCACCCTTGTTTCTGGTAATGCTTGAAGAACTATTCCTGCTTTATGCTGCATCATTTTATTGAGTTATTTTCGTAGTTTCTACATGTCTAAAGTAATTATGTCTCCCATGATTCATAAAAATTTGCATTGAAATATAGTTCCATACAATGAGAAGAGCATTTGCTAAAAATTTTTTAGTTTTCTTCAGCTACAAATTTAAAGAACTATATTAACCACATAAGTTAAAGCATTTAAATTTAATATCATAAATATTTTGTAAAATGATTTTCATACATGAATAAAAAGTCATTACTTTTAATATATGATATATCAAACTAAGCCAGATCAGTGCTTTATAAATTTCATTTGCTGTAGAGTGGTAGAGGGAAACAGCCCACCAAAAGAAGTTGTACCTCATTGAAGACAGAGACCATCTTAAGTTTTTGTTTTTAGAGAAAAGTCAATCTTTTAGCTATAATTGAAAAGTTACCAATTTTTATACTAATTTTACTGTTATCGCTTTTCAGTGGACAGGCCTAGTAAATATATGCATGTGTACCTATATTTGCAGACAATAGGCAAATTCTAGATGCACCACTTCCAACCCCTACCTCTTGGCATTCATGCCTTTGTGTAACTATCTCCCCTTGAATGTAGATAGACTTGTGACTTGCTTCTAATTAACATAATATGGTAAAGGTGATGGGAAGTCAGTTACTCCAACGATTGTGTGATGTTATATAAGCCTCCATCTTGCTAGCAGATTTTCCTTCTACTGGCCTTGAAGAAGCAAGCTGCCATGTTGTGAACTGCCAATGAAAAGTACACATGACAGGAAACTCCAGGCGGGCTCTAGGAGTTAAAAACAACTACTGTCAAAAGCCAGTAAAAAACTAAAGCTCTCAGTTCTACCATGACAAAGAAGTAAATTCTGACAACAATCTAATGGGATAGGAAGCAGATTATTCTCTAGTTAAACCACCAGATAAGAATGCTTCCAGCCAATCAGGTAAGATCATAAAGCAAAGACCCAGCCTAGGCGTTCCTGGACTACTGACCCACAGAAACTTGAGATAGTAAATGTGTATTGTTTTAAACATTTATCATAAGCTGTCATACAGCAATAGAGAACGAATATACTTCCATATACACATTTCTACATCCATCCATGGGTTCTTACTGATAACCTGAATTCCAATCCTACAAGACAGATGATTCTAGGCTTCTTCCTTTCCTTATTTGTAATTTTTTATTTGTATTTCTTTTTGCCTACAGTGAGAAATCCAAGTTTCGTTAACCATAGTATATTTACTTACAAATTTATATACACACTGAGAAGTTTCAGAATGTCTATCTTATAAATCACATAAAATGTAAATGTACAACTATGGTATAATATTTGCATATAGTTATTTTTATCTTTATAAGAAAATGTTTGATGTTTTAAGGCTAAAGTTTACTAAGTTCATTTCTTCCTCACCTTGTTCACTGTGGTTATGTTAGTTTACTTGTAACAATCTTAGGATCATTTTTTATGTTTTGAGTTCTATTTACCTTACACTCTGGTTGATATAAATTACTTACATATGTTTTGAATATGTGAAACATTATATAGCTCTAAGAGTTAAAGCTGAACAAGGAGGTTTACGTCACTCCCTCATTATTCCTACTAGTCATTCCCATGTCCCCATTTTTGTACCCCCTTCCCAAGTACTTTCTACTAGTAATTCATCTCATTAGTTTCTGGAGTAGTCCTGTATTTCTGTTGCACAAATGAGTAGTCACAAGGGTATTGTCATGTATTTATTTGTTTCCAGTCTAACACTGACCATTTTGTACTTTCCTTTTAATTTAAACTTAGCATACTATGAAGTTTATTCCACCTCAGTTCAGACATATTTTCGTTATTATTTTTTTGAGACAGAGTCTCACTCTGTCACCCAGGCTGGAGTGCAGTGGCACGATCTCGGCTCACTGTAACCTCCACCTCCAGGGGTTCAATCGATTCTCCTGCCTCAGCCTCCCCAAGTAGCTGGGATTACAGGTACCCATCACCACACCTGGCTAATTTTTGTATTTTTAGTAGAGACAGGGATTTGCCATGTTGGCCAGGCTGGTCTCCAACTCCTGACCTCAGGTGATCCACCACCTAGACCTCCCAAAGTGATGAGATTACAGGCGTGAGCCACCGCATCCGCTCTATCATTCTTTTTTATAGCTGTAAAGTAATCCACTGTGTAGATCTAGCATAGTTTAATCATCTATTTTATGTATGAGTGCCTAGGTTGTTTTCATTGTTGTGGATTAAACAATACTGCAATAAATATCTATGTGCATAAGTATCCTTGTATTGTTAAAAATGTATTCTCAGGGGGGTACTTTCCTAGAAGTAAGATTACTAAGCTAAAAGGTTATGTGCATACATAGATATTTTTAGGTACTATCAAATTCTTCTCCAGATGTATGGTGCCTGTTTTCTATCAGATAATTTGGAAAATACCTACTTCCCTACAGCCTCACCAGTAGAATGTGTTGTCATACATTCTTGCAGTCTGATTAGGAGAGAAATTGTGTATATGTATGATTTTAATCTGTATTTATCTAATTATGAATAAATTGGAGTTTTAAAAATAAGATTGGGGTATTTTCATAAACTTGTTGAGAATTATCTTATGTGTTTTTCCTATTCAGTTTTTGTTCCTTTGTACTTCATCCATCAAATTATAAGATATATGTGTAAATACAGATACATACACACTAATGTTAGCCCATAGTCTTAACTATATGTTGCAAACATTTCCTTTCACTTTGACAGGTATTTTTTTGCCTTTTAGCCTAATTTTTTGTTATGCAAAGTTTGTGTCACTATATGTTGCGGGAAGTCAGGGATCCCAAACGAAGGGACCGGCTGAAGCCACGGCAGAAGAACATAAATTGTGAAGATTTCATGGACATTTATCATTTCCCCTATCAATATTCTTATAATTTCCTATGCCTGTCTTTATTTTAATCTCTTAATCCCGTCATCTTCATAAGCTGAGGATGTATGTTGCCTCAGGACCCTGTGATGATTGTGTTAACTGCACAAACTGTAAAACATGTGTGTTTGAACAATATGAAATCTGGGCATCCTAAAAAAGAACAGGATAACAGTGATTTTCAGGGAACAAGGGAGATAACCATAAGGTCTGACTGCCTGCAGGGCCGGGCAGAACAGAGTCATATTTCTCTTCTTGCAGAAAGCAAATAGGAGAAATATCACTGAATTCTTTTCCCAGCAAGGAATAACCCTGGGAAAGGAATGCATTCCCAGGGGGCGGTCTCTGAAATGGCCGCTCTGGGAGTGTCTGTCTAATGCAGTTGAATTTAAGGGATGAAATACACCTTGGTCTCCTGTAGTGCCCTCAGGCTTGCTAGGATTAGGAAATTCCAGCCTGGAGTATTCTAGTCAGACCAGTTGTCTGCTCTTGAACCCTGTTTCCTGTTAAGATGTTTATCAATGACAACACATGCCCAGCGAGACATGGAACCTCATCAGTGATTCTGATTTTGCCCTGGCCTTGTGATCTTTTATTGCCCTTTGAAGCATGTGATCTTTGTGACTTGCCCCCTGTTCGTATCCCCCTGCCCTTTTGAAATCCCTAATAGAAACATGCTGGTTTTGCAGCTCAAGGGGCATCACAGAACCTGCTGACATGTGATGTCACCCCCAGAGGCCCAGCTGTAAAATTTCTCTTTGTACTCTTTCTCTTTATTTCTCAGACTGGCCGACACTTAGGGAAAATAGAAAAGAACCTACACTGAAATATTGGGAGCTGGTTCCCCCGATAACTATATGTGGTCAAATTTATCAATCGTATGTTTGTGATTTGGGAGTTAAAATAAGTAAGGCTTTATAAAACATTGAGATTACAAATAAATTCACTTCTTTCCCTCCTAGAGCTGATGATTTTGTATATTTGATTTAGTTAACTAACATATTAAGTATTTATTATTGTGTATGTGTTGAGGAGAGAAGCTCGGTTTATCTTTTACTGAAAGGTTATCCAGTTGCTCCAGCACCATCTTACAGTTTATTCTTGCCACCATATCTTGAGATACTAAGTTTATCATATACAATCATGTGTCACTTAACAACAAATACATTCTGAAAAAAAAGTATCATCATTAGGCAATTTCATGATTATGTGAAGATCATAGAGGGTACATACACAAATCTAGATGGTATAGCCTACTATACATCTAGACTATATGTATAGCCTACTACACATCTGGACTATATATATAGCCCATTGCTCCTATGCTACAAACCTATACAGTGTGTTACTGTACTAAATACTGTAGGCAACTGTAACACAACAGTATTTTTATATCTAAACATAGGTAAACATTGAAAGAGCACTGAGAAAATGCATTATATATGAGATTAAAATAGTACACTGTATAAGGCACTTACCATGAATGGAACTTGCAGGATTGGAAGTTGCTCTGAGTGATTCAGTGAATGAGTGGTTAGTGAATGTCAAGGCCTAGGACCTTATTGTGTACTACTGTAGACTTCATAAACACTGTACACTTAGGCCACACTAGATTTATTTTAAAAATTTCTTTCATCAATAGCAAATTAAACATTGCTATCTGTAGCTTCTTTGTATTATAAACTTTAATTTTTAACTTCTTGACTATTTTGTAATAGCATAGCTTAAAATACAGGTACATTATACAAGTGTACATAAATATTTTGTATCTTTATTCTATAAGAATTTTTAATGTTTCAGACTTTTTTGTTAGACATTAAGCCCCAAACACACACATTAGCCTAGGTATACACAGGTCAGGATCATCAACATCACTGTCTTCCCCCTCCACATCTTGTCCCACTGTGGAGGGCCAATAACATACATGGAGCTGCCATCTCTTATAATAATGAAGCCTTCTTCTGGGAAGACTTGCTCGAGGCTGTTTTATAGTTTATTTTTTTTTAATAAGTAGAAAGAGTACACTCTAAAATAATAAGAAATAATAGTACTGTATAGTAAATACATGAACTAGTAACATAATTGTTTAATATTATTATCAAGTACTATGTATTAGATACATAATTGAATGTGCTGTACTTTTATAGGAGTGGCAGCACAAAAGGTTTGTTTCCACCTGCATAACCACAAACACATGAGTAATGTGTTACAATGCAACCGTTGGCTATAACATCACTAGGCAAGAGGAATTTCTCTCAACTCTATTATAAACTTACAGGACAACCATCATATATACAGTTCATCATTGACCAAAATGTTTTTATGTGGTGCATGACTGTATTCAATTCCCATATGTATAGTGGGTCTAAGTGATGGCTTTCTGTTTTATTCCAGTGTTTTGTCTGTTCATGGACCAGTACAACAATGTTTTCATTACAGAGGTTTTATGATATACTGTAATGTCCAGTATGGCTAATCTTTCTATGTAGTTTGTATTTTTCTGTGTTTTCTAGACTATCTGTGCATGTCTGATTTTCTATATAAACTTTTAATTTGTCTAACTTTATAAAAATCCATGTGTGTATTAATTGGGATTATATTACATTTATAAACAACCTTGAGAAAAACTTAAAGTTTGTAATGTTGATTTTTCCTGTCTAAGAACAGAGAATGTCTTTCTATTTGTTATCAAAAGTCTTTAAAGTTATTTCCTTCTTTAAATTTTGAAAATTTCTTATTAACTGCAAAATAGGTAATCTGTTTTTTTTGCTATTGGCAATTGTTATTATATGTGTAAATGAGGGCTAATAATTTTGTTATTTCATTACTGGCTCACTTACTTTATTCTTTTATTGTTAAATCTAGTTTTATCATTTTATTGTTGCTTTTCTAGAGTTTTCCAAGCATACTATTACATTACTTGTAAAGATAGATGGTGTTAACTCTTTAGCTGTTATGCTTCTAATTAATTTATCTTATCTAATTATATTGGTTCATACCTCCATTAAAATTTTAAATAGTAATAGAGTATGAACATTTTTGCCTTGCTCCTGACATTAGGGGAAATGTCTCAAACCTCTACTGTATTTCCCCAATAATTAAGATTAAGGTATATGAGTGTGCATGTGTGTGTTGAATGTGAATACATACACATATACATGTAATTTTATATTTTGTGTGTGTGTGTATATATATGTATCTCTTAGTCCTAAAGCAAGTATTTCAATTATTATAATATATATCATCTCTTAACTCCTATTTAGTAAGTTGAATGTTTTTGTGAGAAGTAGGTATTGAATTCAGCACTTACAGAGGTAATTGTATTAAAGCTTACTTTAATTCTATTAATATCATATATGATATTCATTGAGATCCTAATATCAAGCCAACCTTAAATTCTAATAATAAATACTACTTGGTCAGGATATAGTCTATTCTTGATATGCTATTGAATTCTGTCTAATATTTTATTTAATATCTTAAATTGATGTACATGAATGGTAATGGTTATAGGTTTTTGTACTGTTTTATCAGATTTAAATGTAATGTTATACTTATTACCAGAATGGGAAGTATTATTTTTTACATTTTATAGAATAACTTGTTGGTCATTGAAATGAGTTAATGTTTTAAAAATTGGTAGAATTTCCATGTGAAATCATTATAGTCCTGGTAGATTTATTATTATTATTATTGGTAGAGTAATTCCCTAATTTTCCCTTTTGATATTTAAAAAATGTCATCTTTGGATGGTTGTTTCCCTTCCTCAGAGCTTTGAGCACAAGTTCTTTGGGGATAAGGAAGACCTAAGGAGGAATCTGTGTTGTTTCACTATTACACTGAATAATTACTGTTAGATTTAATTATATCCAATGTATTTTGCCATCTCTACAGACAAGTTTATCCTTTAAGTAAATACAGCATAGCCTTCTTCATACATGCTTAGACCATGAATTTTCCTACTTGTCAGAGTTTAGGTTACTAAGTCTCTCAAAGTGTCTGTTCTTAACTTTATTCTCAGAGGTTGTCGCATATAGTCAGTGCATGACTTTCTCCTGTAGAAGTATGAGCATAAATAACTGAAAAATGATGTAGTATAAAACATCTAGTTCTCAACTTAAACAAAATAAAAATATTGAAAATATATATTTACAGTTTTACCAACCAGCAGTATGTTATGTTATCCATTTTTTAAATCTCAAAAACCTCTCTTAAGTTCAAATTGAAAATAAAAGCACCTTATAGATTTGGGCTCCATCTGTGGCATAGAAAGAATATGTTATATTTTTCAAAAGCTGCATTTTCTTCCTACCTGAAAGTATTTCTGCAAGAGTATCAATCATTCAGGATATTATTTTATTCCACTGGTTTGGCGGGGAGGAAACTAAGATGATTTGTTTATACCTCTTCATTTACAAGTTGATATTGTCAAGCAAATACTAACTTATCTGAGGAAAACAAAATGCAGTAATAATGGGTAGAGTCAGTTGGATTATTTACATGGTCCAATAGTAAGAGAATATATGAGAAGATTTTTAAAATGTACTAATGCTCCTATAACCTGGAACTCCTATGCTCAATCCTCCCACCTCAACCTCTCGAGTAGCTAGGACTACAGGCAGAGGCCACCATGCCCAGTTAACACCTTCCCTATGATCCTAGGACTCTTGAGAAATCCCTTCTAGTTCCTCAGAAACATGTTATGTAGTAGATGAGGATTTCTCACTCTTTTAAGCCAGTTACTTCTCTTGATAAAGACAAAATCTCAAGCAATCTCTTGTAATCATTTGAAATCCTAACTTAATATATATTAAAACTAAAAATAAATGTAACAGGAAAGAAATGTTAATTTGCTTTCCACACATAGCTTTCTGCTATGAGTCCCTGAAGCAGTGTGCCTCAATCCTGAGCTGCTGTTGTCTTACTTTATTCACACAATCAGAGAGAAAAAATTGTTTTGGAATGGGAAGAGCTACAAAAATCGAAAGAGAGGAGGTAGGTGCAAGGTAGGCTCATAATTTCAAACCAGAGGCGTAACTAGAATAGTGTATTTATGTATCCATAGAAGAAGTGATGCTGGGCTGGCCATGGTGGCTCATGCCTGTAATCCCAGCACTTTGAGAGGCCAAGGCGGGAGGATCACTTGAGGTCAGGAGACAATTCTGGCCAACATGGGGAAACCCGATGTCTACTAAAAATACAAAAATTAGCTGGGTGTTGTGGCATGCATCTGTAGTCCTAGCTACTCTGGAGGCTAAGGCAGGAGAATCGCTTGAACCCAGGAGGTGGAGGTTGCAGTGAGCCAAGATCGCACCACTGCACTCTAGCCTGGGCCACAAAGTGAGATTTAATCTCAGAAAAAAAAAAAAAAAAAAGAGGAGGAGGAGGAGGAGGAGGGGAGGGAGGAGGAGGAAGAATACTGAAAAGCAAACAGACTTCCCACCCTCACAGCAAGATTAGACCAAGATTAGTGAGAGAGCATTGTGATGCCTTTTGTTAAAAAGCATAAGTCATTAGCATTCCTAATTCTTCAGGAACTTTCATTAGAGCACCTTAAATAAATGAAAACTGCTATCCAAAGCCCACAAGTCTCTATCCAAACCCCAAGAACTTAAAAAGAAGTTAGTTCCTCCTCATCTATTCATCTGCCTGAATTCTATTTTTTCCTAAGATTCTGCCCTCTGAGGAAGCTGTTTTTAGAATTAAAGCATTAATAAAGTGGAGAAAATTAGATGATATGGGAAAGTAGATACAGAGTAGAAGTGTTTATGCAAAAACAAACACTAAAGGATAAATTGAACAAGGTGTAAGGTACTCATTTTATAAACTGTTCCATTGTGTCATGGAAAGTGAATCAGTTCCTCAATGAAGTCAGAGGGAGTTTTTTAGCATTTGGCAAAATTGTTTTAAATTCTGGCTGTGCTATTTAGTAGTTATTGGCAAATTAACCTGTTTGAGCATGAGTTTTCTCATTTTAAGTTCAAGTTAATGCTTATGTTGTAGTTTTGCTGCAATGTTTAAATGAAGTAATGAATTCTGAAGCCAAGACAATGGCTTTACTCTTAAAATTATTATTAACATTCACATGTTTAGCTTATATATAGTTTCTATATTCTGTGACTTGAGAGAATTAAAGACAATTTCAAAGAAACATGGGCAATCTCGAGGTGATACACCACAGAGTACAGAGAGAAAAAAATACCTTTATACTTTTAATACCATTACTCAAATGCAGACACTAAAGGATCCAGATGCAGTTTTGATGCTTCATTAGTATGTAAATAAAGAGAAGCAATTTCAGGAGCAAGAAAATGAGGCTATGTCTTAAGGGCAAAAGCTATAGAGTTGCAAAGGATTCACCCTCCAAAAAAGCAAAGTTATCACTACGCTGTCCATGTCCTGCAACCCACCTGCTCACCTTGGCCAGTTACATAGGCTGCTCTGACTATAAGTACGATAACGATGCTATTACAAAGGATTCATTTGAATCATTGATGTGAGAGGTATTGAATCAAACAGCTTTTCTCAAGAGACCATGAGAAAATTAAATAAGGAGGATTTTGGCCTTGCTGTTTTAATAGCATGCCTTTCTTTATGCAAATGTAAATTATCATATATTTAGAAAATCATCAAATATCATCCACTCCTGCTACCTTCTCTAATTATAGTTCATGGCTTATGTGTAACATGATGCCATTTGAGATACTCTGCTGGTTTTTGCTTCACACTCTCCTAATTAGAACTCCTATACTCATAGGACAGTTCTCTTGGAGCCAAGGCTCATAGCTCATTCATAGGACTTATGGTAAAGCAACGTAAAGCAGCCTATTCTCGTGTTCAAGCTTCTAATGTGTTATAGATCATTATTTCCTTTTGTTCTCATTGTTACCCAGCTTGACCTTCAGCGTTATCTAACATGGTTCTTTATAAATATAAGTGTATATTTGAATCACCTACAGATTCTGATTCATAATGTCTAGTTTGGGTCTAAGACTGTGCATTTCTAACAAGTTCCCACTTAATTTCCAGATAATACTTCAGGTCCAAGGTTCACATTTTGAAAACTAAGCCCCTTCCCTTTGGCTCTTTCTACTCCTAGCTGGCTCATGTAAGCTTTTGCTCCTCTTAGACAGCCACCATTAGACAGCCCCTTATTTTAGGTTTAATGAGAAGAGAGGAGAAGCCAACTCTTGCTCCTTTGTTTCTTTCACCCTTGCAAATTCTACCTGGTTTAGTTTAATATTGTCTTCAAGTCTAGCTAATTTACTTCCAACACCAGTACTAGCATGATATTATTCAAATAAATGAAATTAAATTGAATCAATGAGTTATTAGTTTTCAAATCTAAGAGAAAAGCTAACATTTCCACTTTAATATCTGGTAATATAAGTGGATAGTATGTACAAATAGACAATTTGCAGATATTTCATTAGTGGCATCACATAGTTATTTTCAGAATACATTATGAATGAACATAGCTCCTCAAAATAAAAGGAATATTTTGTTTAATGACTAAATATTAGTCTTTATGATTTAGAAAAATAAATTAAGAAATCCCTCATTACCTTTTACATTTCCAGATAATTCTGATATAGTTGGGGTTTCATGATATAAATTAAGTTCAAATTCAATTTGAAAATCAAAGACAAACTATAGAAAGGAACAAACTGATAAGGCCTATTATAATTCTGGAGTTCTAGGTATCTATAAATGTTGTGAGCCCACAGCTTAGTTGTAAAAAGTTAAATGGCTAAATATTTTAATGACTTCAGGCCTACAATTTAAATACACAAAAAAATCTATAGACATATTCTTAGCAATTATATGGGTATGCATTGTATTAAAATACTCTTGTAGGCAAAATAAACCATTAATTGTGACTCTTTATGTAAAGTCAAAAATCAGTATACTAGTGAGTAAAACATTTTTAAAAAAGGAATGGAATAATACATATGTGAATTATTGTTTGATACTATAAACATTATAAAGATTCTAGCTAATTATTTCTAAAAGGAAACACCAGCAAATAAATTTTACAGAGTAGGTATTTATTTATTTATTTAATTTGGTTATCAGATGAAAAGTAAGTGTAATTTGAAAAAAATATATGATAAGGGTGCAAGCTAATATTGGGAGATCAAGTGACACAATTATTCCTATTTTTTTTACTTGCATGCAGTAATCCTCAATAAATGTCTCTCTAAATGAGCACCTTAAAACTGTCAGTCAAGAAAAATCAAGTTGATTAGACATAATGAATTAAAGCAGAAAGCCAGATTGATTGTGTCTTGTAGTATCAAATAAAGAAAACCAAAATGAGGAAAATATGGAGGAATAAAGGGTCTTAGAGATTAATGGAAGTAGAACTAAGGCATGTCTTGCAAGGTAGGAACCTTATTGTGAGTGGGCAGGATAAATAACAAAATAGCTTTTTATTAATAGGGATAGCGAGATAAGAATCTTGAAAAGAGTATCAGTAAACAAGATGTTAAGAATATTTTTAAGAATATAAATCCCTGGAATGCAAGGCTGGTTCAACATATGCAAATCAATAAATGTAATCTATCACATAAACATAACCAATGACAAAAACCACATGATTATCTCAATAGATGGAGAAAAGGCCTTTGATAAAATTCAACACTGATTCATGCTATAATCTCTCAATAAACTAGGAATTGATGGAACATATCTCAAAACAATAAGAGCTATTTACAACAAACCCATAGCCAATATCATACGGAATGGGCAAAAGCTGGAAGCATTCCCTTTGAAAATCGGAAAAAGACAAGGATGTCCTCTCTCACCACTCCTATTCAACATAGTATTGGAAGTTCTGGCCAGAGCAATCAGGCAAGAGAAAGAAATAAAGAGTATTCAAATAGGAAGAGAGGAAGTCAAATTGTCTCCATTTGCAGACGACATGATTGTATATTTAGAAAACTCCATCATCTCAGCCCCCAAACTCCTTAAGCTGATAAACAATTTCAGCAGTCTCAGGATACAAAATCAATGTGCAACAATCACAAGCATTCCTTTACACCAATAATAGACAAGCAGAGAGACAAATCAAGAGTGAACTCCCATTCACAGTTGCTACAGAGAAAATAAAATACTTAGGAATACAACTTATAAAGGGACATGAAGGACTTCTTCAAGTAGAACTACAAACCACTGCTCAATAAGAGGACACAAACAAATGAAAAACATTCCATGGTCACGGATAAGAAGAATCAATATCACGAAAATGGCCATACTGCCCAGAGTAATTTATAGATTCAATGCTATTCCCATCAAGCTACCATTGACTTTCTTCACAGAACTAGTAAAAAAACTACTTTAAATTTCATATGGAACCAAAAAAGGGCCCATATAGCCAAAACATTCCTAAGCAAAATAAAGCTGGAGGCATCGTGCTACCTGACTTCAAACTATACTGCAAGTCTACAGTAACCAAAACAGGATGGTACTGGTATCAAAACAGATATATAGAGCAATGGAACAGAACAGAGCTCTCAGAAATACCACCACGTATCTATAACCATCTGATCCTCAACAAACCTGACAAAAACAAGCAATGGGGAAAGGATTCCCTATTTAATAAATGGTGTTGAGAAAACTGTCTAGCTATATGCAGAAAACTGAAACTAGACCCCTTCCTTACACTTTACACAAAAGATTAACTCAAGATGAATTAAAGACTCAAATGTAAAACCCAAAACCATAAAAGCCCTAGAAAAAAATCTAGGCAATACCATTCAGGACATAGGAATGGGCAAAGACTTCATGACTAAAACACCAAAAGCAATTGCAACAAAAGCCAAAATTGACAAATGGGATCTAATTAAACTAAAGAGCTTCTGCTCAGCAAAATAAACTATCATCAGAGTGAACAGGCAACCTACAGAATGGGAGAAAATTTTTGCAGTCTATCCATCTGACAAACGTCTAATATCTGGAATCTACAAGGAACTTGAACAAATTTACAAGAAAAAAACAAACAACTCCATCAAAAAGTGGGTGAAGGGTATGAAAAGACACTTCTCAAAAGAAGACATTTATGCAGCCAACAAGCATATGAAAAAAGCTCATCATTACTGGTGATTAGAGAAATGCAAATCAAAACCACAGTGAGATACCATCTTATGCCACTTAGAATGGAAATAATTAAAAAGTCTGGAAACAACAGATTCTGGTGAGGATGTAGAGAAATAGGAGTGCTTTTACACTGTTGGTGGGAGTGTAAATTAGTTCAATCATTGTGGAAGACAGCATGGCGATTCCTCAAGGATCTAGAACCAGAAATACCATTTGACCCAGCAATCTCATTACTGGGTATATACCCAAAGGATTATAAATCATTCTACTATAAAGACACATGCACATGTATGTTTATTGCAGCATTATTTACAATAGCAAAGACTTGGAACCAACCCAAATGCCCATCAATGATAGACTGGATAATGAAAATGTGACATATATACAAGATGGAATACTATGCAGCCATAAAAAAGAATGAGTTCATGTCCTTTGCCAGGGCACATGGATGAAGCTGGAAACCAGCATCCTTAGCAAACTAACACAGGAACAGAAAACCAAACAGCGCATATTCTCACTCATAAGTAGGAGTTGAACAATGAGAACACATGGACATAGGGAGGGGAACATTACAAAATGGGGCCTGTTGTGGGGTGGGAGGAAAGGGGATGGAGAGCATTAGGACAAATACCTAATGTATGTGGGGCTAAAACCTAGATGATGGGTTGATAGGTGCAGCAAACCACCATGGCACATCTATACTATGTAACAAACCTGCACATTCAGCACGTGTATCCTAGAACTTAAATAAAAAAATATAAATCATTCTACCAAAGAGACACATTCATTTTTCATATGTTCATTGCAGCACTATTCACAATAGCAAAGACACAGAATCAACCTAGGTGCCCAACAATGGTAGACTGGATAAAGAAAATGTAGTGCACATACATCATGGACAACTACACAGCCATAACTGAAGGAAATCATGTCCTTTGCAGCATCATGGATGTAGCTCCAGGCCATTATCCTAAGTGAATTACACAGGAATAGAAAGCTAACTACCACATATTCTCACTTATAAATGGGAACTAAACATTGGGTACTCACTGGCATAAATATGGTAATAATAGACATTACAAACTACTGGAAGTGGGAGGGAGGAAAGGGGGGGCAAGGTTTGAAAAACTAAATATTGTGTATCATGTTCACTACCTGGGTGATGGAATCAATCATACCCCAAATCTCAGCATCATGCAGTATGCCCACGTAACAAATCTGCACAGGTACCCCATGAATCTAAAATAAAAGTTGAAATTATAAGAAACAAGACTAATTTTATTATACAATCTTTAAAGAGATTTTAACTAAAGAGTTTTAGTTTGTGCTCTGTCTTATATTCTAGGAACAATGTTCCCTAGAGGAAATATCTAAATGTTTTTGTTTGTTTGGTCTCATATTATCGAAAATATTGATATAATATGAAAATATGCCTGATACAGTATTGTTTAACAGAGTCACAGAAGAGTATTCCTGGTCCCTTTACTGTTATTTTTAAAAGTTGTTGAACAGCTTTGTAGAGCTATAAACCATATAACATAAAATTCTCCCATTTGAAGTATTCAGTTTAGTGATATGTTGATATACTCATAAGGTTGTGTGGCTACCAATACGATCTAATTTTAGAACATTTTATTCATCCCTAAAATAAATCCAGTAATGCCTTGGAATAGGACTCCCTAGGTAACTTTGATATATCCTGTTAGTGAGTAAAATTTCCGATCATAGCCTTTCTGATCTCTTTAAGAAGCAAATTCTCTTGCTCTTTATGTTGGGTACTTAGTTGTTGATCTTTGGATGGGGCAGAAATGATGCAGTAGCATCTGAGATCATACTTCCTAGCAACGAAACAGAAAAAATACTAAAAGAAAGAGTATGATCAGAGTCTCTAATCTACTTCTAAGCCAGATATCACAAGTAAATTAATTAAATTAAGAACAGATTTTTTTCTCAATACTAAATTCCCATACAAAATATGACAGTATAGATTTGACCAAATTACTAACTTTTATGTTTTATTTCTAGTTTTGTGTTTATTTTTAGTAATACTAATGATACCACAGAGGTATACAGTGGTACAAATACAAACTTTTTCCTAAGGCAACATATGTTGCACACCAAGTGGCTAATGTTATATTGAAAGAAAATTTATTTTAAATTGCCAACTTTACAAATGCATGAACCTCTTAGGCAAGAAATGTTATTGTATTAGTAACATTGTTAGTACTTTTACCATTTCCTGATATATTATCCTAATTTTCAGGCTTCTTGTAAAGCATAAAATGAAGCGACTTTGGGGCAAAAGAAAGCAGAGCAAAATTTCCCTTACGGCGTTAAAGTTATTGCAAATAAGTTGTGTGGCTCATTTTTTATAATTGTTTAATTAAATTACTTTTGGATCTCATTTTTCCATAGACAGGAATATGAAAGGCCAAAATATGCCCTAGCTTATATCAGGAATCACCCTGATTATAGATATCCATCCCTACCTACCCTGTTATTAGTAGCTAATAGCTTTTTGTGTTGCAAAGCAAGTATATTAACTATTGACCAACTGGTAATTTTTGGATGAAAAGAACCCTATGCAATTATTGAATAGTATTATAATATTTTGCACCCACTCATCAAATTTGTGTTCTAGTGTCAAGTGATAAAATTTGGAGAAGAGATCTCATTGGGTATATCTAAATCAAAGGAGCTAGGGATTGAGCCTAGGTAGTGAGCCTTCCTTGTACTGTCTGTAAAATTGAAAGAGCATTTGAATCTGTTCTCGGGCTCTACTTCTGTGTGAGTTTGCTTTCAAAATTTAGCTCCTACAAAAGGTACCATAGTGCTGTTCATGTAGAAATCGTAATCTTCATTTCTATGTATGTGATGTTAAAGAGTTATAAACTCCATTGTTAGCAAAAGAATATGAGTACAAAACCAATAGTGGGTTTGGTTGCATGTTTTAGCAAAATCATGAGCAAACTGAAATCAGGTGTGCAATTTAAACCACGGTATGACTGAGGGTTCACAAAGCAAATTAAGGATAGGATCTTTATAGCTATCATAGTTAAAAAATAACAGGTGTCTATTAACATGCTAAAACCATAAGTCAACACAGAAGAAAGATAAATTTACAAATCTAGAAGATAAGCCTTACAAATCATTGTGTTTGGTCATCTGGATCTTGTTTTGTCAGTATTGGGTGGATGCTATCTACCCCATGCCATTGTCCACTTGATTTTAAGATCTCAACTGAATGATTGCCTGATACTTGAGTATTCCTAAGAATCCTTCACTTGAAGTTTCTGGCTGCAAAACTTTTCCAGAGATATGAGAGTTGCATGTATCCTTAATTAAGACCCCCCTTGGAGTTTTACTGCTATGCCAATTGTTAACAGTATCCAATAAAGTTTTTTCCTCTGGAGTTTTAGGGTCATCATTAAATGATTTCCAGACATAAGGAAATGACATTAATCTCTACCATTAGACTAGCTGCCTTGTTTGAGACATTTGCAGTATTTGACTATGGCTGCTTGTAAAATGTTATAGTTCAAAATTTGAGATAACATTCCTAAGCACAGGGGCTCATTTGTCATTAACTCATAATGGGGAAGATGATAAACCGCAGAAGGAATTGATCACTTTTTCTTTAAAGCCAGTGATAAGACTCAGGCAATGAAAATTCAGGTGGCCCAGGTAAAATATGTGTTGAACGAGTTGTTTTGTCTTACTCTACAATTTATTTTCTCTTATGAGCTTTTCTTTCTAATTGCACAGCTTCTGCTATCTAGTGTAGAGAAGCTTTTTCCAAAGTTTCTCAGAACTAGTTAATAGGAGGAGCAGGTTGCATAAACAAACATATTAAGTAACTACTACATTAAAGATGAAAAAGTTAATTTTCTCTGGGATATTTTGTAAATTAAAATATTCCAAATTTCATGGAGATTATTAATTAGGGAAGAGTAAAAGTGTTTCTGAAATGTATTTGACCATAAAGTATTATATTTCATGAAGAATCCTAGGGGATATATAGATCATGAAAAAGAGAGGAAAATAGTTCTATGGTTTCATCTGCTATAACCCATCCTCAACTTACCCATCATTCAAGACTGGCTTAAGACATCTACAAAGTTCTTGTGAGATTATTTTGGTCGACATCGACTTCTCTCTGAAATCATTTGCCAATATCACTTGGTTTGTTCATTTTCTTGTAATGAAGAATTAATTCAAAAGAATAAGCCTTTTTCCACTGATTGTAAATTCCTTGATTATGTTGTATGGTTTAAGATTGTACTCACTAATCTGGATGCATATGGCATAGCATTCCATCTCTGTTCACAGACTGTCTTCTAGAGCAGAAGTCTCCAACCTTTTTGGCATGAAGGACTGGTTTTGTGGAAGACAATTTTTCCACGAACAACTACATTGGGGAGATGGTTTTAGGATGAAACTGTTCTACCTCAGATCATAAGGAACGTGCAACCTAGATCACTCACATACACAGCTGACAACAGGGTTTACACTCCTATGAGAATCTAATGCCACCACTGATCTGACAGGAGGCAGAACTCAGGTGGTAATGCTCACCCACTGCTTACCTCCTCCTGTGTGGTCTTGTTCCTAATGCTACCGCTCTGTGGCCTGAGGGTTAGGGAACCCTGTTCTAGAATCTTCTATCTGGAATTTTCTGTCTCCATATTTACTGTTTTCATCTTTCTCAAATTTTATCCTTTAATTTGCAGTAGAAATGCATCTTGTATATGAAAGTCCCTCCCACTCCTAAAATCTCTAATCAGAAATTAGTTTCTCCACGTTTTGGAGACTAGCAAGTAACAAAGCAAGGGGTTGGGAAAAAAGGAAGAAAAAGTAGCAAAGCAGTTATTTATGTTCTTAGATACATATCTTGCTTTTTGCTGGACAAACAGCAAACCTAGGTAGGTTACCAGTGGTAGATGAATAAGTAGTTGCTACTGTATAGATACTAATTAGTAAGTATATTCGGGGTTTATTTTTTAGTTTTTCAGGTAACATCATAGAGAAAAATTAAGGTTTCTTCCCCAGATACTTTTATGTTAGCATTAACTGCCCAATTGGTTCTCTTTGCCTGCTGCCCAGATAGAGCCAATTTATCAAGACAAACGAATTGCAATGGAGAAAGAGTTTAACTCATGAAGAGTTGGCTGAACAGAAGACCAGAGCTTTATGACTCAAACCAGTCTCTCTGAAAATTTGGAGACTGGGGTTTTTAAGGATAGTTTGGCAGGTAGGGAGCCAAGGAGTGGGGAGTGCTGATGGGTTGTCTCAGAAATGAAGTCATAGGGAGCCAAAGTGGGTTCTTTTTGCTGTCTTCTGTTCCTGGATGGAATCCCAGAACTGGTTGAGTCAGATGACTGGCTTTGGGTGATGCCAGCTAATGCATCAGAATGCAGAGTCTAAAAAATCTCAAGCACCCATCTTAGGTTTTGCAATAGTGATGTTATGACTAGTAGCAACTGAGGAGATTAGAATCTTGTGGCCTCTGGCTACATGACTTCTAAACTGTAATTTCTAATCTTGTGGCTAATTTGTTAGTCTTACAAAGACAATCTGGTCCCCAGGAAACAAGGGAGTTTGTTTCAGGAAACGGAGTTTGTTTCAGGAAAGGGCTGTTACCATATGTGTTTCAAAGTTAAACTATANNAACTAAGGTTTTCTCAAACTTAGTTCAGCCCATGTGCCCATGTTCAGGAATGAACAAGGGGCAACTCAGAGGTTAGGAGAAAGAGTCAGTTCAGTAAGATCTCTTTCATTGTCATGATTTCCTCACTGTTAAAATTTTTGCAAAGGTGTTTTCAATTAAAACAGTATTGGGGTGGGGAAGGGATATAGGTTGAAATCAGGTATTCATCTTTTATAATTGAGTTTTGACAGCACATTTGTACTCAGGAAACTGACCACATTCACACTTAAGTTGTCCCCAGCAAGAGAATATAAGAAGCAGTGAAGACTTTGTAAGGATTTCCTGTTCAGTCTATATGAGAGGACTGGAGCAAATCCTATGATTCAGAAACACTGGTGGTACCAGCCTTGATGTCAGGAAGGCTTCGACTACACGATGCAATGAGAAAATAGTAGATGGTAAAATTCTGAGGTACAGGCGATAGATGTAAATCATGAACTTCCTTTTTCAGTTGTTACCTGCTTAAAAATTTTCAAGAAATAGAGGATCAGAGCAGAATGCACCAAACAGACCGAAGAAGAAATTAATTCAAGAATGTGTTGAATCAAATGGAAAATAAAGTAAAACAACTGGCAGGAAGCAAAAAAAAAAAAAAAAAAAAAAAAAAGAATTTATTTTGGTCCTTCAGATCAGAACCAATAAAAAAGAATATAGCTCAGCAGAAACAAAGGATTGCTTTTCCTGATTGAATTATCTAGTCAATAATAGGCATTAGAAAAAGCACACAATGACAGGAGGTGCCCAGCTGGGCTTCCTGGGTCGAGTAGGGGCTCAGAGAGCTGTGAAACTCACGTATTTCCTGCATCAGGACTTACTTTGGTCCTGGATGAATAATATTGAAAGATACATGCTTAAAATATTCCTAACACCAGGATTTGTTCATGTGTTTTCTTCCCCAAGAAGGCTATAAACAGCAAAAATTTTGTTATAAGCTTCTCTGTGTCCTCTCTCCCTCTCTCCCTTCCCCCTCCCCTGAAACTAAAAGGAATTTTAGGCCCATTTTTCTGTGACCAGCAGACCTTATCTATCCTCCCAATTCCAATTCCTTTTATACACAGTTTGTAAAATCCTGTGAGATCCTGTCTCCTTTGCCATGCCGCTGCAAGGTCATAAAGTAGATAAAACTTAAGTTACAATTCCAGTTTTCCTCAAGATCTGAGACATGTTAATTGTATTTGTTTCTCGCTCTGGTAACATCTTCCCACCGCACGTATTTCCTGCGTTAAAGAGTTTAAAAGATGGTCAAAGAATCTAACACTGTTCGGGACCCCTTCCACGCTGTGGAAGCTTTGTACTGTCACTCTGCTCAATAAAGCCTACAGCATTTTTTTCTCTCGGTCCGATCCGTGTCTCTCTCAACGAGGGCTGCCGCCACACCAAATCTTTGGCGTGGCTAAGGCAAGAACCTTTGGCGTTACAATAACAAAGAAATTTTACTTAGGCCTGCTTTGATAAGCATATGATATGATACGAAAATTTAGGTTACTAACAAGCAAAACAGAAAGCAATCAAGTCCTACAATCACAGTATTATAGAATGTATGAACGGAAAAAAAATTTAGAATTTATCCAGACCTACTTTCTACACATTTATGGTTCTCAGTTTTCTGTCCTACTATTTTTCCAGACTTCCATACTCATTAGTGACTCATTTTCATATAGATAATTTTTGTTTTTTTGATGTAAGGCTAAGCTGGTAACAATTTTCAAACATGTTTTTCATAAAATTTAGAGCTATGAATTCAGAGAAGTGGCAGTTTTTAGTGAATTTGAAACTAAGCCAAATAAGAAAGTAGTTGGCAGGAAACATTATTAATTATTAATGGCAAAGTATTTTTGGTTCAACTTCTTGAAAACGAATAATAGTACAGTCATTAGGCATTGACTTATTCAATATAAGATGCAATACTGAGGAGGCAAGAGTAGAAGCTGGAGATAATTTGGGCAATGTCATTAATGATCAGTCTTAACCACAAAAAACCTGCAAAGGAACTAGACTTCCAGGGCAATTATCTCTACTCAGCACTGTGTCTTGTCAGGGGAACAATGGGAACTAGTTGTCTTTAGCCATATGTTCATGGCTGCTTAAATCCATGGCAGAAGGCAGGCAGTTCTTGCCCTGGAATAATAACCATCTGCAGGTTGTAGTACCAATTGCCTCTGAAATCAATTGCCTATTTGCAGTCGTGTATAACATGTTTTATCCCACTCAATCTGATCACAAACCCTATTTCTTCCTGAATTATGAAACTATGGCCTCCCACATAGCTTACACATCGAGGATGATTGCCAACCTATTATGATAATCATAATCATATTGCTATTATCCGTTCAGGTTGGATCCATGAAAACAACTCAGATTGCCAGTTCAAACACACATTTGCCCTTGTTTGAAAACCTGGCCTTTCCTGAATTGAGGCTCCACACAAGAAACTTTTCCTGTGATTGTTTTTGAGCAAATGGAATAACTGGTGACTGAGACTTATTGTTGATAATAGGACCCCTCTCTAGATGAATAAAATTAATACTTTAAAAATTAAAAAAAGTCAGATAAGTATTAACAGCAGCCAGTCATCACCCAAAAGTTCTTCATGAGAAGCCACTGTGTGGTGCATATTAAAAAGGCATATTCCTGAACCCCAGCCCAAACTTAATGTATCCAAATATGTATAAATCAGCTTGCTGGAATTCAGAGGCAAATGGAGAATAATTCATATTTGTACTCCAACTATAAGCAGGACACTGAAGATTGTGAGGTAAAAATTGGTAGAAAAACTTTACATGAACTGAAGTAATTAAATATCCAGAGAAGTATAAAAGAATGGCCCCTAGGTGCTCAGGCAATGTGATATGTCATCCAAAGATATTAATTTCTCAAAATAAAGAATGTATTTCCTGAAAACAGCAACTGACATAAAAATGGCCTATTTGTCACTGTCTAAATAATGCCAATTAAGTAGCATGTTAATCTACATGATCAAACTATCATTATCTTGAACAAATTTAAGGATGTGAAAAATGATACAGAAGGTTTGTCATTTAGCTCTTCAGCCTTCCTCAGCCTAAGGCTGAATTTCTCATTTTTCTTTCCAGCTTTATGGAGGTATATTTGACCAATAAAAGTTGTATATATTAAGGGTGAATTTGAAGCTGAAGCTGGATGTCAGATTTGGGCTAAAAATATCAAGGCTTACATTTGGTGTTCTCCTAATAATTTATTCAGCTTCCCTAGTATCAGTGCTAGAGATATAATGAAACAGAAAAAAAAAACCAGACTTTTGCTCTCCTGGATGATATAGTATAGTAGATAAACTACAAATGAATAAAGCTATAATGAATAAATTAATTGATTATTTGGCAACAAATATTTTGGAATGAAGTTAGGTAAGGGAAGATCTTGCTGAGGAAGAACCTGAAGAATGGACTAAAACCTGAAGAATGAGAAGAAGCCAGCCAATATGATGAAAATTAGGTTGTGGACTATTAATACTTTGAAACATGGTTTCTGCCATTTACTGAAATATCTACATGCGGGAAGACATGACGAGAGTATGCACCAGCCAGAAGCTGAGTGACTTCACCTCACTTCTTTACACAACTGTTCTGTGGATTCCAAGAGTAGAACTCAAGATCCCACTTCTGCACCCACCTACCTTTCCAGAAATTGTTTTGAACCAATTCAGCTAGGAGGCCTTCCTACTGACAAGTAAATAAGCCTCTAGTTTAATTTCAACAAGTGTTCACATTCTGAAAGCAGAAACAGTAAGAGAAAACAAGGTAAAATATAAATTTTGAGATTTAAATATACTGGACATTATTAAAATATGATAAGTCACTGTAAATAGAGTATTATAACTGAAAGGAGACAAGCATTCGAAAAGTAAAAACTGTACATTATTAATTCAGTTTTAAGGTTTTAGAATTTTTCACATCATATTTACCATTAAGGAGGAATGATTATTTTATTCATAATCCCCACAACTCCCAGAGATGTACAAATCCATAAGTTTTTACCTATATATTTACTAGGCTTTTATATATATCCTAGGGAACTATATGAAAAGTTCATGGGACATAAGGTATGATAAAGTGAAGGAGGGCTTTTATGCTAGGCATTGCCAAACTACAACTGTAAACAAAGTAAGGATCTTTGCCCTCCTACAGTAAGTGTAAGTTTAGCAGTTGCCCAATTTTTGCCAGTATTCCTATTATGTTTCCTGTGCTTCATGCAATTTCTTAAAGACTTTGCTGTGGTCTTTACTCAGTCAGTCTTGGATCCTTCATTTTACCTTCTAGGATAAAGTTGTCAGGTGGTATTTGAAACTAAAGGTTCTCTTCTAGATAAGTTTTCGGTGGTTTCTAAAGTTGCAGTAAGACAAATCTCATCTTGTTGGATGTGTTTGTGGTTTGGTGCCCACAGATTTCTGGTAATGGCGAAGAGCCTCTTGCAATGGAAAGCAAACACCCAGGGAAATGACTGAGAGACCATCATCATGTGAAGGGTTAGGGGGAAAAAAGTAAAAAAAAAAAGTATGGAAAAACATGAGGAGAGGCCCTGACATAATAGAGAATTTAGCATGTTCAACAAACCAAAAGACTAGTGTGGCTGGAGTATTGTCGAGGGATGGAGGCTCACAAGATGTGGGGTTGCACCTCTTGATTGGCTCTGTGTTGTGCAGGGCAAGGGAAAGGCTAATAGAAAACTATAGCCTGATGCACACATTACAAGGTCTACTGAATACTTTTGGGGGACTGGATAAAAGGCAGGCAAGTTTGGTTTATCTCTCCAACCCCCTCCCCCATAAAAACAGAACTAAAGTTGCAAAAGAAAACAAAACAAATAAAAGCAACAAAAACAAAAGAGCATATATGTTACAAAAATATATGATAAGATAGCTTCACAAACCCTAAAATATGAGCAGGTTGGAGACAAATTAACTTGTCCAGAATCATCACTATCTTCAGCAACTTCTCTCTTGTTCTTTTGACCACAGGCGGCCTCAGTAAATACCACAGCCAGGTTAAACATTTACTAATGACACTATAGAATAAATGAGACACAGGGAAAGTAGGACTTGTAGAAGACCTCTCTGCTGAACAGTGTTTGAATATGTTCTAAAATTGATCCAGAAATATGCCCAGTGAGTAGACTGATTGCAGCCAAACAGATTCAGAGTGGGAAGATGAGGCAGCTCACTACCACTTCTCCATAGGCTTGTTTCATTTCCCTGTAAGCCAGAAGGAGAAATGTGGGATTGGGCCATTAATACATTCTTTGGTTCCACCTGCCTGATTTGAAAGCTCACACCCTCAGTTTTGAAAAGAGGGGAAAAGGTCTAGTCAACGGGAAATGTTCAAGATAAAGAATTTGTCAAAGAAGGAGAAAACCCTCATGAATGTGATGCAGGAGGTAAACCTTACTTTTCTTACAGTTTTCCTTTTTTTTTTTCTAGATTACTTTCCCTATAAATACTTTGTTGTCTGTACTACATGAAGCAAGTTTATCTCATAAACTCATTCATGTTAACATTTTGGAAAGCCATAATACCAAGGAAAAATTAACAGTAGAAATTCTGGCACCTACATAGATAATATTTTTGAAGTAAGTATTATCTTTGACATCATGGAGTTCACTATGAAACCCTCCTGCAATTTAAATCACCTTCCTATAAATAATAAGAAGACAGAAAAACACAATTTTAGGGTCTGGAACTTTTCAATGAAAAGTTTTATATGATCTATGATTAGACTAGGCAGCACAGAGTAATGATTAAAAGCATAGACTCTGGGCCTAGATGGCTTGATTAGAAATTTGGAGATTGTTCTGTATTAGCTGTGGTACTGCATCTCTCAGTTTTGTCAACAGTGAAGTTAGAACAATTACAGGATATACCTCATTGTCATTTATGAAAATTAAATAAGATCATATTTATAAAGCATTTAGAACAGTGCTGTGTAGGTGATGGTTAAAGTATCAACTGGGTGACTTTGTGTTGACTAACAGAACTGGCATGAGTTTTAGCACCTCAACAGAGCGTGATACTATTTTTTTAGCCTCAATATAAAATCAGTTATCTCAAATTTTCCATCTAAGTCATGATTTTACTGTTGAACTACTAAAAGCCATAAAGAAATGTTGTTCATAATGCTACTAAATGCCCCAAAAACAGTGAGATAAGAATCAGGAAACCCAGTGTTTGTACAAGCATTGTCCTGATCGTTTGTGCTTTCATGAGCAAGTCATTAACTCTTCCGCATCAAATAACTTATCTGTAAAATAGAAACGGTAATAATTTTGACTGCCAACTTCCAAGGAGACCACAAAAACATCTGATAATCATGTGAAGTTGGGTTTAATACCTACTACAGTAAATAACAATACCACCTAAACAGAGTCTTAGATTTCAAAAGGAATAGGGGTTAGGGGACAAATATTTATAGGGTTTGAGGATTAACCTATAGTGGTTTAAGTTGGCTTGTCAATGGATATCTGATTGGGATTTGGCAAAATCGTGATACAATAGTTTGGGATTAGTTAACACAGTGAGGTGAGGATATTGGTAAGTCTTAAAAAGAAAGACAACTCCTTGATAATCAAACAGTTTGCCTATTAGAGCAATTTATTGCTCTAAGAAAGAGGCTGCTTGCCCAAATGAACAGCTATTGTCTTGAAAAAGAGAAGTATTTGAGCAGCCTATTTCCTGTATACATTGATTTTTAGCAAGTTATTGCAGCAAACAAGATATTTACTGGTTTACCATCTATCTTATTTTCCTGGGCACCAAAAAGAGTCAAACTGATGAAGGAATCCTTACTCAGTTTCATAGGTAAACTGTATAGATGCAGAATCTCAAATCTCACTTTTTAAAAAAGGAAAATAACTTTAGAAGGTAGAACCACATAAAAATAACAGAACTGCAGTATAATGGAACTTTAGATATCACTTCATTCACATCAATCTCATCACACTCCAACTGATGGTAAAGAAGATGAAACTCAGAAAAAGCAAATTATTTCCCCACACTCTATCTCTAGAGTGACACAGTCATGTCACCCCCAAGTCAAGATTCCACTGGTGGGTCCCTGACCTCATTATCTAATCAGAAGATGTCATCTAAATTTAAGCTCACCAAACAATGTTGCTGTTCTTCAAGTTTCATTTCTCCCTAACTTCCATCAAGAGACAAGCTTCAAAATATTTAGCTAGAAGAGAACGGATCAAAAGTAAATGAAATGCATAGCTGTGTGCAAATGGAGCCACATGCATGGAAACCTACCCAACAAATTCAAAAACATTTTACAAGCCAGAGAGTTAGATTAGTAAAATTTGCATTCAAATTAAACATAAAAATGTTCCCTACAATTTCATCATTTATTCACCAACTAAAGAGCTGACCAACATGCCAACGTTTGGCATATTAAGGAGCTTCCTTTAGCCCCAAATTGCCTACCAGCAAAACAAAGCAATTTGCACTTTGGCAGACTGTTTTACAAAATGATTATAGGAAGGAAAATTCAAACCACTAAATTATGCCTAATAACATAATAGTTAAGTTTCCATCTTGATGATAACTAAGCTGATTATGAACAACTATGTGCTCTTAAGTACATACTTAAGGAAAGCCCAGCTTTTCTTTCATAATGCTGTTATTTAATTAGACCAGAAAAGCATTTGATTCTAATCCATTCTTTAGACTCCTACTGTATATCTAAATGTGGTTAAAATATTTCTATCTGGGGTATTTTTTAAAAATGAGCTGTTTCTTTGTTTTTTAAACTTTGAGTGATTGATCAAAAAGTGTTTAGTAAGACACACTCTATTCCCCACAGAAGCCTCATACATAGTAGCAGTTAGACATAGGGCTCTAGATCAGCAGGTATGCTGAAAATTGTTTTTTTAATTATCAGCCACGTGACTTTGGAAAACTTACTATTCTCCCTGTTTCTTAGTTCCCTCATTTGTAAAATGAAGCTTCTATTGAAATTTTACATGAGAAAATACATGGACAGCACGCCAAGTAGTCAAAAAATGTAAGTTATTGTTATGCATAAAGAAGTTTTCATAGCAAAATAAAAATAAGTCTATGAAAAGGAGCATTTGCTAGTTATGTATCATGTTATACTATAGTAGTATAAGTTCCTCTTTTTTAAAAGCTCTACAACGGTTTTTTACAATAGACATGCTTCCAGTTTCCTACTTCAATAAATGGAGCATTGGCATGTAAAATTCAAACTTTTTCTGTAGTTATGAAATGAGTAAAATATCTGTCTTGTTAGTTTCTACATTTACTTTTATGAATATGTTGCTTATTTTTCAAAGGAGCTGTTATCAATGGAAGCACACAGTTTTGAAAATATCACCTACTTCTGGAGGCGCAGTTTACAGTGCCTGACCTCCTGATGAGCTATGGACAGCAGTGAGATCCCTGGCTTCATTGTTATTTAAGACAGCCTGAACTTTTCATTTTGGCATTTACTAGGCGATATATACTAGGTGAAGTGTGTGTGTGTGTATATATATAATTATGTATGTATACATACATAAAATAAATATATGTATATAATATACATCTTTAATATGATTTTAACACAATATAAACTGTAAGGGCATATAAGAACAACAAGCTATAAAAGATCATTTTATATCTTTTGATAAAAGCAGCTATGTCATTTTGGCTTCTTTCCCTGCCACATTTTAGCCTATGCACTAATGCACACACACACACACACACACACACACACACACACACACTTTCTCAGACACAGCATTCTACCTGAAGAATTAGGAAAAATTAGGAATTCCACCTGAAGAAGGAGGAAAAGGTCAGACTTCTCTTTTAAAACTTTTTTTTTAAGTCAAAAGAGACTGTAACACCTTTAAGAAATAAAGTCCATCAGCTTCCCTGAGCTGTACTCATATGTTTTGAAACATCCATTAGCACAGCTAGAACATGAATTTTAGAAAGGTCAACATTAAAAGCAACTAGAATAAATGTCAAGTCTGTAGCCGAATTATGATAAGCCACTAAAAAACAGTTTATTTTACCTGAGTCTGACATTGTACCTGAGCTTGATTCTTTGAATTTCTAGATAAAACCATTTTAAATTCCTAGGTCTCCTTAAATAGTAAGATGGTAGTCTCAATTATATTCTTATGGAGATGAACATAATATATTTTACAACTATTAGAGCAAGATGAAAAGCAATAAGGTATAAGGGGGAATTTGAAAGCCAACTGCTTCCTGTAGTCAAAGTATGACATACCAGAATTTACTTAGAATGAGCAGGTCTAGGGTACCCACCATGGCACTTGCCATTGTGTTCATGGGATCTAGAATGTGTCTGGAGGAGCTTTCAGAAATGACCAAATTACTGAAAACATTAAAAAACACAGAGGTTATAGTCCCATCTTGCTAACGAAACCATTTTGCTTTTCTGTGTAATAACGTATTTGTGTAATTTGGAACAGAATGTGTCATTGATATATGAATTCTACCTTTCAGCATTCTCACAGTCAGATGAGTAGGCTCTGATAGCACTGAAATACAAGTGTAATGAAAGCATCATTTTATTATAAAAGTAATAATCTATAGCTACATACATCCAGCAAAGCAAATCAGCTTAAGTGGACCCATTATGTTTTCCTTAAGGGATATTCCAATTACCTCTTGAAATATTTAAGATGTAAAGAAAGCCAATAAATGTCAGTTTTCAGAGCTTAGGAAGGCTAATATCTATAGAATGCTTCTGAAAGCTATTACTCTTAAAGATAAGATCCTTGAGTTCCACCTTAGAAGAAAAATACTTTCTTGATGTGGTGTAGTGTCTTGAAGTCTCAGTCACATCACTCAAGCCTTGAAACACATTGGAAAGTTCACTTCTAATAGGTGATTTCAACCTAATGACTGTCCACTCCTTTTCATTTCCTCATTGCCACTCTACTCACACTAGTGATCTAGGACTTGAAGTCTAGAGGCTTCATTGAAGACAGAATAAGAAAACACAATAAGAATACCATGGCAAGTGTAAAAGACTAAAAAGAAGACTATTCTATATGAAGGATAAATTACTGATTTTTTTCATACCTATATTTTAAAAAGTCTCAGATTTACATAAAGGAAAGATGCATGTTTAAAATAAAACAATATCAATGTTACACTTACATGAAAAATTGGTCTGAGTTTAAGAACTACAAAGTTAAATGAGAACTTTGAAAGTTTAATGCACCAAATAAAAATGGGTTAAAATAAATCTATCAATGACATTCCTTATCATTCAGAAATAAATATCTTTAATATTCCTTTTTAGCAGAATGATTTGTCATTTCAATGATTTCCAAAAGAATCCTCAAAAGATAATCATTCATTAGCCTTTGATTATGTAAAAAGTTTTTTTAATCTCACTCATATTTAAAGGCATTAAGCTCTTGTTTCTTGATGAGTCAAATAAGCGCTTCTTTGGTATTTTGTGTTCTAACTGGGGATAGACTTGACTAAAAAAGCAAGTGCTGGATTTTAACTGAAAATGAGTATTGCTTTTCTTCTCTCTAGTGCCATTTATTCCAACCAGTGAATATGAAATGTATCACATAAATGCAACAATACTAGTGTTAAACCTTAATCTTTGCTAGTGCAGTCTTCTAGAATTTTCTAAACTTGAGACTATCATACAGCTTCAGTGTCAGTGAGATACATCTTCATTATACCTCTTCCTTGGATTTTCATGAAATTCTGGTTTTTGCTCCATTGTGATGATTGCAGTGAATTAACTTTATTTGTGCTAGCTTCCAGGGCTTTGGTTATTTGCCATCAAAAGAAGCAAAATAAAAGATTATTCCACAAAAGAAAACTATCAGTGGTTTTCATTTTCAGCAGCCTAAGTTATTTTTACTTTCCTTTAAAATGAATACATGTGAATATGGAATTGTGGTTCTTTAATTTTTATCATTCCCTAGGTGTCCCCCTAACAACACACGGTACAACTTCCAGGCTCATTCTCCACCAAAATATTCCCAACACAGAAATTTGGGAGCTTACGCTTTTAGGATAAAAGTGAGTCAACAAGTCCTCAATGAGATAAGCCATGGATTCAGTTGGGGCATTCTAATAACCTAAGAACAGATTTAAGGGAAAAATATTCTGACTAGCCTTTCATTACAACTAGAATTTCTGAGAATATTTTCTATTATTTGAGGTTGAAGACATACAAACTAAATAGTTAATATGATTATCTAGTAGAGAAAAATGGCAAAATTAGAAAGTGAGTACAAAGAAAAATACAAGACAAACTTATGATAGATACATGGCTAATTGGAGGTCTCATTAAAAAGCGGAAAAAACAAAAGCTAATTGTAAATTGACAGATGTTGACAAATACTCCCCTTCCCCCACCACACACATAAAACAGAGGTGGGGGAAGGGAAATATTTCATTCATTCTTATAATTAGCAACTGTGGTTTACTAAGAAACTAAAAGGTGTTGAAATTCTCCAGACAGAAACATGGTTTGACAACTCTGGTACATATACCTGGAAGAACATTATATAGCCTTTAAAAATGATGTCTAAAAGGAGCATTTAGTCAAATACAAGATTTAAAGCCAACAAGTCAAATTGAAATTGTAGATGTCAGTGAATAAACATGTGATCATGATCAGTTCGTTTGACCATTATGGATCCTAAAAGCAAATAAACAATAAAATTCATCCCAATAATTGTGTTAAGAACTGAAAATACTATATAACAGTTGCATTAAACCAAGATTCAATAGACATGAGCTGTGGGCTTACGAATATTTTTATAAGCTGTTGGTGCTTGGGCAATTACTTTATGTCTCTAAGCGTTGGGTTTTTTATATATTATATGAGTAATGTAAGGAAAGAATGAATGTTTTCTCTCTCAAACATTTATAAAGAAACTATCCACCCTGTACTGGGCCATACACACTTGGCATACACTATATTAAATAACTATATTAAATAATAATATTATTGTAATTCACTTTAAGGATTGACAAAGGGGAGATAGAGGAAAGAAACAAATATGATCGAAGAGGCCAAATTTAAAAACCTGGTGCTCTTGTTAAAATCAAATTAATCACAATACATATTGCTTATTTTGACAAGTGTGCCAAATTCCTTCAACCAATAATTTAAAATCTTTTATGCAACACTAAAATAATATTGTGCATCCCTTTTAGGTATCTTTATATATATACATACATACATATAATCTACCTTAGAATCTACAATAAAAATAAAATTCACTAAGCCAATAACATTTAAAATACTTGCCAGAATCCAATTATTCCTTCTGTATCCAAGATATTAAACTCATTATTACAAGCCTTGATCCTCTTGTAATACTATCAGTGAAGCTCAAAATTTTAACCTGTAGCAAAATTCTTTCTGATAGGAAGTTGAAGTTGATTGAAGTCAATGGGAGTTGGGTATGAGCAAATGATGTCAGTCTTTGGTCTCAGATAAGACTATTTCCTCTCCAACCGAGGAGGTTTCTTCCCTGCTTTCATCTTAAGGCAAAGTGCTGAATACCGATGAAGTAAGCCTTCATCTAACCTCAGTGATTAATGTTTAGACAACTCACTTGGATTTTAAACAGAGTTTGGATTTGAATTTTGCATAGGGTCAGCCAATTTGTCAAAACCAATAATAGTTTCCTTTCCACAGACAGAACATGCCAGTGAATTACCTCAGGTCCTGACGAGTTGCCTTATTGTGACGTGACTTGTGTTATTTTTAGTATTACTCTAACTACCTTTATGAAGAATGTGTATTGAAGTTGTTACCAAAGATAAAATGCATAGAATTGAATAACATTGAAAAAGTACAGAAAACAACAATAAATGGACCCGATACCACATCATGAGAGATGAATTCAGATTGTTTTCCATCTTCCATTTTAGTTTCCTAAAGTATCTACTGAAAGGCGTATACACACACACCAATATTGTGGGGGTTTTTTCTCCTAACTTAATAGAAAATTTCAAAAATTGTCTACATATCCTTTATTTTTTACAAAGAAATCCTTTGTTGAAAAGAGCCAAGAGATATGCATTCATGGATAAATTGAAGTGCATTTGTTTTCTGCATGTCAGTTGAATAGATGTATTGATGTTTGGGGGTATGGATTGAGAATAAACAGAGAGAGAGGGCATATGTGTAAATATACTCAATTGAACTGCAGGATTTTTTTTTTCCTTTTTTATCATCCTCTAGGTCCCTGAAGTAACCGAGGACCCTACTGAGTGCACACACACATAACCTCCAGAACACTAAATAAGATTTCTCCCAGCCATTACTCATTATGCCTCAATTATCCTTTATCATCAGATTATAAGCTTCTTACAATTCACAACTGAAGAGGAAATGAATTAGTCTCTTCACACTGCTATAAAGAATACTATTTGAGACTGAGTAATTATCAAGGGAAGAGGTATAATTTACTCACAGTTCTGCAGACTTAATAGGAAGCATGGCTAGGAGACTTCAGGAAACTTAAAATCATGACAGAAGCCGAGGAGGAAGCAAGCACGTCCTACGCAGCAGCAGGCGAGAGAGCAAGAGGGAGAGTAATTGAAGGAGGAACTGCCAAACACTTATAAAACCATCAGATCTCGTGAGACTAACACGCTATCGTGAGAACAGCATTGGGGAAACCACACCCATAATCCAATCACCTCCCACCAGGTCCCTCCCTTGACACATTGGGATTACAATTCAAGACGAGATTTAGGTGGGGACACAGATCCAAACCATATCAGAAACATTCCATTACCCCCGCACCCGCCGCCAAAAAAAAAATAGTTTTCAGAGTGAGGAAGGCCCATTATTAGGATCGTTGTGTCTTCCAAAGTCTTGGCAACTAAAATTGTACTTTTTTCCTGAGTTTCCTAACATTAATGAGTGATTCTCAACAGGTGGTTCCTAGACCAACAGTACATATTGGAGTTACCTGTGGACTTGTTAGAAATGTAAATTTTCAACCGAGACCTATTAGTCAGAAACTATAGGACGGGCTCAGCAATTTGTAGTTTAACAAGATCTCCAGGTGATTCTGATATCTGCTAATATTGCAGAACACTGTCTGATGATGGATCTGACAATTAAAATTGAGTGGATGCACCTAGGCACAGTGGCTCACACCTGTAATCCCAGCACTTTGGGAGGCTGAGGCAGGTGGATCACTTGAGGTTAGGAATTAGAGACCAGTCTGACCAATGCGGTGCAACCCCATCTCTACTAAAAATACAAAAATTAGCCACGCTTTGTGGCAGGCACCTGTAATCCTAATCCCAGCTACTCAGGAGGCTGAGGCAGGAGAATCACTTGAAACTGTGAGGCGGAGGTTGCAGTGAGCCGAGATCACACCGCTGCACTCTAGGATGGGTGACAGAGCGAGACTCCCTCTCAAGCAACAACAACAAAATTGAGTAGATGCTTGGGATAAGGAAGAAACACATGCATTCTAAGAGAATGTGGTGCAAGCAACAGAAACCTACTCACAATGGCTTAAATAACAGTAAAATATGCCTATACTTACAAACTATAAAAAAAATTTCAAAGCTGGCTAATCTGTTGGCTCAGCAATACCAAGGCCCCAGTTTCCTTCCATTTATTATTTCTGCCATTCACCTTCATCTTGTCCTTTGCCTTCAGACAATTAAAAATAATAGCCTAAGGTTCAAAGATGCAGATAAGACTCATTGTGAAAAATAATAGGAAGAAAAATCATGTTAATGGTTGTTGTCTCTAGTTAATGGAACTATGGATTATTTGTAGTTTTCTCTATTTATCATTCTGTGTATTCAAACATATTACCAAGAATATGTGTCGCATTTATACTTACTAGAAGGAGAAGAAGGAGGAGGAAGACGAGGAGGGAAGGAAAGGAGGAAAAGAGAGGAATGGAAGGGAGAGAGAGTAGAAAGAGGATTTTAAAAATCCTTTTTTTCTCCTATACATTCCTCAGTAATGTAAATATTTATCCTTGGCCTTCAGTAAGTCCTGTGGAAAATTGTTAGTATAGCCTATAGGATACAAAACCTAAATCTATGAACAGACTGAACATTAGTATGTGAAAAATGTTTGAGCCCTGTTCCTTTTCACTTGGGGCATTTATTTTTATTTGAATACTCATCAAACTAGTGGAATAATCAAGAATAAAGGATTATTTGCAAAAATTTAAATTTTTACATTTACATTTGATAACCAATGGTCTTTTTTTAATTTATACCAAGATTATTTTACGCTCTTATTTCTTCTGTTTTGATATATAACAAAATTAGCTTCTAGATAAGCATTCATGCATATCTCATGCAACTCAGTACTTATGTTCTTATATGTCAATTGTCCAGTAGGATAATATAATATAAATCATAGAAAAGAATAAAGAGACAAAATGTGTTATTCTGTTTCATATAGAAATAATATATCTTTCATTAAATTGTGATTTCATTATTACTATTACTACTATTATTATTATTATTACTTCCTTCTTTACAAAGAGACACACCTATTCTCTTATCAGGTCAAAATAGTGGAGGTTGAGACAGTACGCTCTGTAGTTGGGCCATCTCTGGACTTTGTTGCAGCTTCAGTTCAATTCAGTTTCACCCTATTTTGACTATAGGATCAAGAGTTTTCTTCAGCAGAGCTTGGGATCTGAACACTGGTGAGTTTCCAGCAATGTGTAAATATTTCACAGGTGAGCTCCCTGCCTTATGAATTGTGAGAAATCTATCACTTCTTTAGAGCCTGATTGACATTATTTTTAGGTCACTGGGATGTTCTCTTTGATCTACACCCCTGCCCCCTACTTCCTGAACCTTGGGAGCTCTCTTTCAGTCCTGCTGCCCCATGCTTGGCCCTGAGAGGGTGGTTAGAACTGTAAAGCAGACCATGCTTTGTGAAGGCAAATATTTCCTCAAAGAGATTCCTCTCGGTTCATTCTTCCTTTTATCTTCCTTGGCTGGAAGCACAGAGTACCAGCAGGAGTTTCGCTCAGATCTCATTGGCTGCCTCCATTGGGGGGACAGTACTCCCAGCACTCACTGAAACCTGTCGGAAAGTGCTGGGGATAGGGGACTGTAGCGCTGTCACGCTGGACCATATGCTGATTTTCCCCTAGCTTGTACTACTAAGGAAGACTTATTTCCCTCTGTTCAGTCAGGGATGAGCACAGCAGTGGATAACTTCTCTCTTGTGAGCATCTTGCCACTTCCTAAATTTAGCTTCTTTCCACCTTCAGCTGTCTTTGATTCAATAATAAACTGTAATGATGCAATTTAAATTGTTTGGGTTACTAGAGTGAGAGTGATAGTCTCTTATGACCTTCTCCATCCAAAATGGAGTAAGCCTTCGCAGTGTACTCTTTATTAAGAAAAGTTCTGTTCTTAAAACTAAAAATAGGTCACAAATGAGACCTACTCCTCATGTACCTTAACACAAAAAAATTAAAGGTAAGAAAATCTGTGAAAATAACTAAATGAAAGATAAAGATAACAGATATCTGGAACTTCTGGAAAGCTGAACCAAGTGGAGGTTCCTGGAGGGTGTCTTACCCAGGGGAGGGTGTGGAAGCTATGTGTCCTTTCCTGCACCTTAGCCTATGCATCTCTTCATCTACTGAAGGACATAAAATTATCTTGGCATTTGAAATAACCATGGTGTCTCAGGTGATGTCAGAGAAACACTGTAATGGGAATAGTGCTGCCCGGAAAAATTCGATAATACAATAGAAATGATAAGGATCATGCTACTTGGGAAGTGAAAACAGGAGATCCATACAAGCAGGGATCCCCTTTTTTCTTATGAGTAGCTCTCCACTGACTGACAAAGAGCAGCTTAGTTTGTGGATGGCACTTCCGGTGTGAATGGACAGTATTCTATTTGGAAGGGTGCCACTCTAAACAAGGAAAGTAAAATTGAATCATTTTGGTGGGCTGAATTGCATGCTGTTTTCCGAGTGGTGGTGGAAGAATTGAACAGTGGTAAAAGCCCTTGTGTTTGGGTTTTTACTGACTTGTGGGCAGTGGCCAATGACCTGACCACATGGTCAGACAATGGAAATCTAGCCTTTTAAAGGGATGGTCATAAGGGGCACAGTACTAGGGAAATTTGAGGGGCACAATAAGGTAGGACATGTGGATACCCATGAGAAGAGTGCCCTTCCAAGTTCAGACAGTGACTGAAATTGACAAGCAGATATTCCCATGTGCTCATTTGAGTGGCCACCTTGGTCCATGAAATAAGTGGATATGGGGCTACTGCAGCAATACAGAGATGCACTGAGTCTAAATGCCAGTAAGAACTGTTCTGTTTGTCAGCAAGAGAGACAGAGACTGCCAGTGGTTCTGGAGCAGATTTTCTGGTAGGAAGATACTGAAAAAACCTGAAAAGTGAGACTGATGCTGGTAGCCCTTGGGGGCTATAAATGGCTCCTGACAAGAATGGACACTGATTCTGGACTGGGCTATGCTTACCTGTTGGAAGATGCAAATGCTCAGAGTGCTATATTAAAAACAAAAACAAAAACAAAAAAACCACACACACACAACCTAGAACATAATCCCAGCACTTTGGGAGGCTTAGGTGAGCAGGTCACTTGAGGTCAAGAGTTCGAGACCAGCCTGGCCAACATGAAACCTTGGCCAACATGAAACAAAAAAATTGGCTGGGCATGGTGGCGTACGCTTATAATCCCAGCTACTTGGGAGGCTGAATCAGGAGAGCCCAGGAAGCAAAGGTTGCAGTGAGCTGAGATCACACCATTGCACTCCAGCCTGGGCGACAAGAGCAAAACTCCATCTCAAAAAAACAAACTAGAACAGAAACTATTGCACAAATTTGGACAGCTGACTGTCGTTTCTTCAAAGCAAGGAAGTAAGAAACACACAATAGCCCATAGTGTCCAAAAATGGGCAGAGAGATCTCCTCAGAGTAATTGATAGAGAAGTGAAACAGGCAATTAAAACTGGTTTTGTAAGGTAGGTGGAGATAAAGACGTGAAGGTCTGGCTTACAAGCCTTCACAAGTACGTATGCTCATGGAATGTCTCCTTCATTTTTCTGGTTGATCTGGGGAAGAAGGGGTGAAGAAAGATGCTGGTATTACTATGCAATTCTTAACAAGGAAGGAGTATGCTGATATAAATGTTATACTTTCTGTTTTATTTCTTTCTTCTCACATCACCTCAACTTTTTGTCTTTCCTTTACCTGATGCAGTGATCCTAAGGTCAGAGCTGCAAGTGCAAGCAGAAGCAGAGATTATTCTTAAGCAAGAAACTCTGTTTTTAAACCTTATGCCAGAATTCCTAAAGGCTTGATGGAGGTGGGATGTGCAAAAATATAGTTAACAGTAAAAGAAGTTATATTGCCTGGTGATAAAAATAAGCCACTAGTTTGACACCTATGTAGTCTTACCCTACCTAAATGGGAGTGGACTGAGAAGGAGGCACTACCCACACTGGTACTGATGCCTGTAATCTAGATCAGCTCGGTGGTGCTTCCAATATCCCTTCCAAAATTTATTAATCAAAAGAATAAATATTACCTGAAGGTAAAGGGAAAAATAAATGGGTAATGAATTCAGGGCAATCTAATATTACATTAACACCTTGAAAGAGGCTCAGAGCAAGATATTGTCTCTTAGATCAAATATACGAGTTTCTGAGTGGGTGAAGCTACATGTTTGCCAAAACCATTCTTGCTTTAGATGGAAGTGAAACCTGCCAACCTCAGTGTCCTCACCCTGGGAGACATTCATATAATATGGAGGACTAGGCTAACGATAAATGTAAAAACATCTTTTGAGATTTATATCCCTTTAATGTAAGGGATAAGGCTCAAAGGAGGGGTTGGGTGGGGATAGTGTTATTGTAAAATACGTAAAATATGTATTTGGTCTTTGATCAAGTTTCCTGTCCTACAATTCCTAACATCCTTGGAATCTCCTAAGTGATGTCTTTTGGTTTTTGTTTTAATTTTTGTAGAGATGGGATCCTGCTATGTTGCCCATGCTGGTCTCAAATGCTTGGCTTCAAGTGATCCTCCTACCTCACTATCCCGAACTGCTGAGACTCCAAATGTGAGCCACCATGCCAGGCCCAGTGATGCCTTTTTGCATGCTAATGATGGACTGAAGGCTGGCAGCCCCTAGGTAGCTTCAGGATGGGAGCTGGTCAACAGAAAGACCACCAAGGCATTGTAGAGGCTTGGAATTTTGAGCCCACTTGTAATCTCCAGGGAGGGAAGAGGAGCTAAAAGTTAAGTTAATCACCAAGGGACAGTGGTTTGATCAAGCACGTCTGTATAATGAAGTCTCCACAGAAACCCAAAAAGACATGGTTAGGAGCGCTTTCAGATAGTGAACACATGGAGGTTCCTAAATGGTGATGCATTCAGGGGAGGACATGGAAGCTCTTGCCCTTTCCCCTATACTTTGTCCTATGCATCTATTCATTGATATCTTTTGTAATATTCTTTATAATAAACCTATAAACTTAAGAAAATGAAAGATTTCTCAAATTGTGATTTTCAAGTGAGCTAATGTTGACTTTATTGATGTTGGAGAAAAACTAGACAGATAAAGAGGAGAATAAAAAAAGAGGAAGGGGAAAAGAGGAGGAAGAAGAGAAAAGGAAGGATAGAAAAATGAGGATAGACACTGGTTATAGGTCAATCAGTCATGAACATGGCAAAGATGTTTTACTTTTGTATCTCAACTCTGAGATAAGAGTAAGGGCCACAGGCATATGCATCACCATTTCACCATGTTCACGAAGGATATGAATTAAGTTAACAAGCACTATTATTGATTCGTACAGTTAAAATATATTTGACTGTAAACTTTAAAAATGAAAACTATGTACACTTTTAACAGACTCACCCACTGATCTTTGGCAGAGCTTTTTATATTCACAGGATTTCAATGGGTAGAAAGTAAAACCATATGTTTCATCACCAAAACAACTAAAAAAATACATATGGAACACAATAACTCATTACAGTTACTAATTCACTTATACAGTAAGCCAGAAATACATCAATGTGACATTTTATGAAGCAAATGCTGCCTACAACATACACAAGGTATGTTCAAACCACTTACACATAAAGTAACAGAAGTTAAATACAAAAGCAAATTCTCAAAATATATCATCCACTGAGACAGGAAATACAAGCAGGTCCTTTTTCTGCTGCTTTCTGTCAAAGGTCAGACAATGTGAAGTTCAACAGCAATATTGTTCTAACTCTATCATTTATTATTTTTGACTCCCTTCACTAATGCAACTCTTTTTGAAACAATGGAGTTAGAATGGGAGTGGAGGCCAGATCTGAAATCCTGGCCAAATGGCTACTTGCCTTTCTGCCTTTGTTCACACTGTTTAACATAAAAATGTAGGTATGGCCAGGTGCGGTGGCTCACCACGCCTATAATCCCAGCAATTTGGCAGGCTGAGGAGGGCAGATTGCCTGAGCTCAGGAGTTCGTGACCAGCCTGGGCAACAAGGTGAAACCCCATCTCCACGAAAAAAAAAAAAAAAAAAAAAGAAAATTAGCCAGGTGTGGTGGCATGCACCTGTAGTCCCCGCTACTTGGGAGGCTGAGGCAGGGTTCCTTGAACCTGGGACAAGGAAGTTGCAGTGAGCCAAGATCACACCACTGCACTCTAGCCTGGGCAACAGAGCAAGACTCCATCTCAAAAAAAAAAAAAAAGTAGGTAAATTAGCTCTTGGTGACACATGGTAATTCAGTTACAAGGAGGAAAATGTTCAGGAAAGGAGTAACTACCTTTTAGGTGTTAAGTTTGAGAAGCAATTTTATTTTATTTTATTTTATTCATACTGTGGAGGCTTTTTAGTTTTTCAAGAAATGTCTTTAATTTCAACTGGTTTCCTGTGTCTTAACTTATTTTCTTGGCTATTATTTTATATATGTTAGAAAAATCTGTAGACTTGTTCTTCCCTATGTAATTTACACCTTGGCTCCTGGCAGCAAATTTGATGAAACACTTAATAGTATTTCCTGCCTACTTTGTTTTAAATATAAACCCAGTTTTAAACATATATGTTAGTTTCCCTCAAGTGATATGTTATTTCATCTTAATAATGACAAAAATGTGATAAGTAACCTTAATCTCTTATTGACATTAGTCCATATAGCACTTTAAGAAGCCATGCTGCAAAAAAGAAAACATCTTAAATAGCAACTAAAGTGGTTTTACTTCAATACAATCCAAAGAATGCGTGCTGAAATGCCAACATGCACAAGGCCCTGTACTTTTATCCTCAGACATTAAGATGGGTGCAACTTAATGGAATACTTCACATCTACTCTAAAACATGCTAAGTTGTAAGTGCCCAATTTGTTCTTCCCGTCTGCTGCACAGACAAAATCAATTCACTGAGACCATGGTATTGCAATAAAAAAGAGTTTAATTGACATGAGGCCAGCCACACAAAAGATGGAGTTATTTCTCAAATCAATCTCCCTGAAGGCTCGGAGGTTAAGGTTTTTCAAGGCCAGTTTGGTGGGCAAGGGTCTAGGGGTTTGGTACTGCTAACTGGTTGGGGATTCCATCATAGGGGTATGGAAAAGTGACCTTTTGCGCTGAGTTCTCCCCTGGGTTGGGGGCTACAGGACTGATTGAATTATGAGTCGCAAGTCCAGGTGGGGTCCACTGGTTGCCAGAATGAAAAAGTCTGCAAAAACATCTCAAACAACAAATCTTAGGTTCTACAATAGTGGTGTTTTCTATAGGAACAATTGGGGAAGTTATATATCTTGTAATCTCTGTAATAGCCAGTTATTGTGTTAGCTATGTCTGCATCTTAGCTGAAATCTTAGGGCCCTCTCATAATCCTAAGCTTGTGGATTTTCATTAGCTTTACAAAGGTGGTGTTAGTTTTCGGGAAGGGCTATCATTATCCTTGCTTTAAATTTAAACTATAAACTCTATTCCTCCCAAGGTTAGCCTGGCTTCTGTCCAGGAATGACCAAGGACAGCTTGGAGATTAGCAGCAAGATAAAGTAAACTAAGTCAGATTTCTCTTACTGTCATAATTTTGCACAGGCAGTTTCAAAATCACTTGGGAGACCACATACAACTATAAAATAGTCTTTACTATAAAAAAAACCTAGAACCATTTTGAATAAATAGGATAGTCACATATGAAATAGTAAAATAGCAATATAAAGCCATTTTAATATTAACAGAATAAATATCCAGATGGGTAAAATTTATACTAATTGAAATTCAGCATTAAACATTTGAAATAGGTTGCTTTAAAGAAGAGGGCTAAAATTTATATAACACAACTTTTATGAATTAATTGTAATAAATGGATATGATACTAATATATGAATAGAGAGGGGAAATAATATTCTACTTATTCATCAGCACTTCACCCTATGAAAGGGCTTCTGTGAGCTACCAAATATTATGGCTATTGGTGATATATATCTAACTTTGAGCCACCAAACTTAAGTTTCCTCATTGGAAGGAATTTAAGTTGAAGGAGGACACAAACCATATCTATCTTTGTCACTATTGCAGCCCCAGGATTTAACTCAGTGTCTGGCACATAACAGGTGTTTAAGATTTGTCGAATGAATGAAATCCTAAAAGGGCTTTCCCATACATGATGCAAAGGAAATTATTTTAGCAAGAAGCAGTATAATATAACACTCTAGAGTGGTGCTGTTTTATTTCATCTGTATTATTTTCTTATTCTCTTCGTGCCTTAGTTTTCTGCTCTATTAAGTGAAAATAATCCCACTATGTGCCTTATAGGGTCATTAAGTAATTTAAATTAGTTACTGTATGTAAAATGCTTCAGAATATGACTACCACGTAGAAAAAACTTTATATCTGTTAGTGTCCATCAGCTAAGGCTGCCATAACAAAACACCACAGACTAGGAACGTTAAAAAACATAAATTTATTTTCTCACAGTTCTGGAGCCTGGAAGTCCAAAATCACGGTGCTGGCAGGTTTGGTTTCTCTGAAGGCCTCTCTACATGCGTTGCAGATGGCTTCCTTCTCACTACGTCCTCACACGCCTTCCCTCTGTGCCCAAGCGCAAACATTCCTGGTGTCTCTCTCTTCTTATAAGAACATCAGTTGTATTGGATTAGGTCCCCACCCTTATGACTGAATTTAACCTTTATTATCCCTTTGAATGCCCTATCTCCAAATACAGTCATGTTGGGTAACTAGGAATTCAACATATTAACTGAGGGTAAGAAGGGGGTGCAATTAAGTCCTTAGCAGTTAGTCTCAAGTTTATCATGTCTAGGAAGAGAGAATTTTTTTTTTAGGTTTTCTTCTCGGGTTTTTATGGTTTTGGGTCTGACATTTAAGTCTTTAATCCATCTTGCATTAATTTTTGTATAAGGTGTAAGCAAGGGATCCAGTTTCAGCTTTCTACATATGGCTAGCCAGTTTTCCCAGCACCATTTATTAAATAGGGAATCCTTTCCCCATTTCTTGTTTTTGTCAGGTTTATGAAAGATCAGATAGTTGTAGATGTGTGGTATTATTTCTGGGGGCTCTATTCTGTTCCATTGGTCTATATCTCTGTTTTGGTACCAGTACCATGCTGTTTTGGTTACCGTAGCCTTGTAGTATAGTTTGAAGTCAGTGTGATGACTCCTGTTTTGTTCTTTTGGCTTAGGATTGTCTTGGCAATGCGGGCTCTTTTTTGGTTCCATTAGCCAGTTTTCTAATTTGCAAAAACTCTACATGGATAATACTTATAGTGATGCCTTACCTTTGGCAAATGAGCAAATGTTCTAAGCATTGCTTAAGGTGATAAAATAAAGACTACATTCAGCAAGGGGAAACTAACAATAAACATAAAATTAATAAACAAAAACATCATGTATATGTTAAAAATTTGTAAGTATTAAAAGTAATGGCAAAAACCATGATTACTTTTGCAACAACCCAATAATATAGAAAAATAAAATTTTGGTAAACAGGTTTAGAAAGGGTGACTGAGAGCCAACTAAAAATGTCAGGATAGGTAGGTCTCATTGACCTGGTGATTTCAGCAAAAAATTGAAAGACACAATGGAGTTAACCAAGCAATATCTTGAGGAAGAATGTTTCAGACAGAGGGAAAAACTAGAGTAAAGTGTCACAGCGAGCTTGCCTGGCATGTTTACATAGCCACAAGGAGGCTGGTATGGCTGGGGCTGGGTAGGAAATGGTGAGAGTAGTAGGAGAGGATATGGGAGATGTCATAGGAAGCTAGATCACATAGATCATGTTGACCATTTCAAGGACTTTAACTTTACTCCAAGTGAAGCTGCAGGATTTTGAGCGGAGGAGTGACATTAAAATCAAAAGTTTACTTAAATTAAAGTTTAATTTTATTTAGTAATTTAAAAAAAACATGATGGAGAAATTGTGTGCCATATGGGTGGGGACTGGGATTCCTCAAATGGAGAGTGTCAGATCTGCAACAAATACTTGAATAACTGCTTAAGTAGAACACATGGCCCTCAGTGGCATAGGTATTGTGTGACACCAAGACTTCAGAGTAAGAGGAAGCTGCTTGACATTTAGGTGGAAATTTGTAGCTACTGGAGCAATGAAGAAGAAAGTATAAAAGTCAAGAAACAGGAACAGAAAAAAATAAGAGAAAGCCATGAGAAAAGAGAAGGTATGCCCTGGATTGCGTAAACCCTCTGGGGAACCCTATAAACAATTTACTAGATTCAATTAAATTCTTCGATGCTTAGAATATTAGTTTTCTATTGCTGCTGTGACAAATTACTAAAAATTAATGGCTTAAAATAGCACAATTCATTATTGTGAAGTTCTGCTGATCAGAGTCTGACATGGCTAAGATCAAGGGCCTGACTGGGCCAAGATTAAGGTGTCAGGAGGGCTGCTTTCCTTTCTGGAATCTCTATGGGACAGTTTGCTTATTTGCCTTTTCCAGCTTCTAGAGACCACTTTCCTTGACTTATGACTGCCTTCTTCCATCTTTAAAGCCAGTGCCATTTGGCAAAGTCCTTCTCACACTGTCATCTCTGTTTTTCCCTTTCTATTTCCTCTTACACGTTTGTGGACCCAGAGGTAGGCCTACCTACCTAATTTGTCATAAATAGCTCTTATTATTTTGAGATATGTCCCATCAATACCTAGTTTATTGAGAGTTTTTAGCTTGAAGGGCTGTTGCATTTTGTCGAAGCCCTTTTCTGTATCTATTGAGACAATCATGTGGTTTTTGTCTTTGGTTCTGTTGATATGATGGATTATGTTTATTGTTCTGCGTATGTTGACCCAGCCTTGCATCCCAGGGATGAAGCCATCTTGATTGTGGTGGATAAGCTTTTTGATGTGCTGCTGGATTCTGTTTGCCAGTATTTTATTGAAGATTTTTGCATGGATGTTCATCAGGGATATTGGTCTAAAATTCTCTTTTTTTGTTGTGTCTCTGCCAGCCTTTGGTATCAGGATGATGTTGGCCTCATAAAATGAATTAGGGAGGATACCCTCTTTTTCTATTGATTGGAATAGTTTCAGAAGGAATGGTACCAGCTCCTCTTTGTACCTCTGGTAGAATTCGGCTGTGAATCCGTCTGGGCCTGGACTTTTTCTGGTTGGTAGGCTATTAATTATTGCCTCAATTTCAGAACCGGTTATTGGTTTATTCAGGGATTCAACTTCTTCCTGGTTTTGTCTTGGGAGAATATAGGTGTCCAGGGATTTATCCATTTCTTCTAGATTTTCTAGTTTATTTGCATACAGGTGTATATAGTATTCTCTGATGGTAGTTTGTATTTCTGTGGTTTCAGTGGTGATATCCCCTTTATCATCTTTTATTTCATCTATTTGATTCTTCTCTCTTTTCTTCTTTATTAGTCTTGCTAGCTATCTATCAATTCTGTTGATCTTTTCAAAAAACCAGCTCCTGGATTCGTTGATTTTTTGAAGGGTTTTTTGTGTCTCCATCTCCTTCAGTTCTGCTCTGATCTTAGTTATTTATTGCCTTCTGCTAGCTTTTGAATGTGTTTGCTCTTGCTTCTCTAGTTCTTTTAATTGTGATGTTAGGGTGTCAATTTTAGATTTTTCCTGCTTTCTCTTGTAGGCATTTAGTGCTATAAATTTCCCTCTACACACTGCTTTAAATGTGTCCCAGAGATTCTGGTATGTTGTGTCTTTGTTTTCATTGGTTTCAAAGAACATCTTGTTGTGTCTTTCTTCTCATTGGTTTCAAAGAACATCTTTATTTCTGCCTTCATTTCATTATGTACCCAGTAGTCATTCAGGAGCAGGTTGTTCAGTTTCCATGTAGTTGAGCAGTTTTGAGTGAGTTTCTTAATCCTGAGTTCTAGTTTGATTGCACTGTGGTCTGAGAGACAGTTTGTTATAATTTCTGTTCTTTTACATTTGCTGAGGAGTGCTTTACTTCCAACTATGTGGTCAATTTTGGAATAAGTGTGATGTGCTCAGAAGAATGTATATTCTGTTGATTTGGGGTGGAGTGTTCTGTAGATGTCTATTAGGTCTGTGTGGTGCATAGCTGAGTTCAATTCCTGGATATTCTTGTTAACTTTCTGTCTTGTTGATCTGTCTAATGTTGACAGTGGGGTGTTAAAGTCTCCCATTATTATTGTGTGGGAGTCTAAGTATCTTTGTAGGTCTCTAAGGACTTGCTTTATGAATCTGGGTGCTCCTGTATTGGGTGCATATATATTTAGGATAGTTAGCTCTTCTTGTTGAATTGATCCCTTTGCCATTATGTAATGGCCTTCTTTGTCTCTTTTGATCTTTGTTGGTTTAAAGTCTGTTTTATCAGAGACTAGGATTGCAACCCCTGCCTTTTTTTGTTTTCCATTTGCTTGGTAGATCTTCCTCCATCCTTTTATTTTGAGCCTATGTGTGGCTCTGCACGTGAGATGGGTTTCCTGAATACAGCACACTGATGGGTCTTGACTCTATCCAATTTGCCAGTCTGTGTCTTTTAATTGGAGCATTTAATCCATTTACATTTAAGGTTAATATTGTTATGTGTGAATTTTATCCTGTCATTATGATGTTAGCTGGTTATTTTGCTTGTTAGTTGATGCAGTTTCTTCCTAGCATTGATGCTCTTTACAATTTGGCATGTTTTTGCAGTGGCTGGTACCGGTTGTTCCTTTCCATGTTTACTGCTTCCTTCAGGAGCTCTTGTAAGGCACGCCTGGTGGTGACAACATCTCTCAGCATTTGTTTGTCTGTAATGGATTTTATTTCTCCTTCACTTATGAAGCTTAGTTTGGCTGGATATGAAATTCTGTGTTGAAAATTCTTTTCTTTAAGAATGTTGAATATTGGCCCCCACTCTCTTTTGGCTTGTAGAGTTTCTGCTAAGAGATCTGCTGTTAGTCTGATGGGCTTCCCTTTGTGGGCAACCTGACCTTTCTCTCTGGCTGCCCTTAACATTTTTTCCTTCATTTCAACTTTGGTGAATCTGACAATTATGTGTCTTGGAGTTGCTCTTCTCGAGGAGTATCTTTGTGGCATTCTCTATATTTCCTCAGTTTGAATGTTGGCCTGCCTTGCTAGATTGGGGAAGTTCTCATGGATAATATCCTGAAGAGTGTTTTCCAACTTGGTTCCATTCTCCCCATCCCTTTCAGGTACACCAAACAGATGTAGATTTTCACATAGTCCCATATTTCTTGGAGGCTTTGTTCATTTGTTTTTTCTCTTTTTTCTCTAAACTTCTCTTCTCACTTCATGTGTTTCATTTAATCTTCAATCACTGATACCCTTTCTTCCACTTGATCAAATTGTCTACTGAAGCTTGTGCATGTGTAACGTAGTTCTCACGCCATGGTTTTCAGCTCCATCAGGTCATTTAATGACTTCTCTACACTGTTTATTCTAGTTAGCCATTCATCTAATCCTTTTTCAAGGATTTTAGCTACTTTGCAATGGGTTCGAACATCCTCCTTTAGCTCGGAGAAGTTTGTTATTACTGATTGTCTGAAGGCTTCTCCTCTCAACTCGTCAAAGTCATTCTCTGTCCAGCTTTGATCCGTTGCTTGGGAGGAGCTGTGTTCCTTTGGAGGAGAAGAGGCACTCTGATTTTTAGAATTTTCAGCTTTTCTGCTCTGATTTCTCCCCATCTTTGTGGTTTCATCTACCTTTGGTCTTTGATGATGGTGACGTACAGATGGGGTTGTGGTGTGGATGTCCTTTCTGTTTGTTAGTTTTCCTTCTAACAGTCCAGACCCTCAACTGCAGGTCTCTTAGAGTTTGCTGGAGGTCCACTCCAGACCCTGTTTGCCTAGGTATCACCAGTGGAGGCTGCAGAACAGCAAATATTGCAGAACAGCAAATGTTGCTGCCTGATCCTTCCTCTGGAAGCTTCATCTCACAGGGGCACCCGGCTGTATGAGCTGTCAGTGTGCCCCTACTGGGAGGTGTCTCCCAGTTAGGCTACTCAGAGGTCAGGAACCCACTTGAGGAGGCAGTCTGCCTGTTCTCTGCCTGTTCTCAAACTCTGTGCTGGGAGAAGCATTACTCTCTTCAAAGCTGTCAGACAAGGACGTTTCAGTCTGCAGAAGTTTCTGCTGCCTTTTGTTCAGCTATGCCCTGCCCCCAGAGGTGGAGTCTACACAGGCAGGCAGGCCTCTTGAGCTGCGGTGGGCCCCACCCAGTTCTAGCTTCCTGTCTGCTTTGTTTACCTACTCAGGACTCAGCAATGGCAGACGTCCCTCCCCCTGCCTCACTGCCACCTTGCAGTTCGATCTCAGACTGCTGTGCTAGCAGTGAACGAGGCACCATGGGTGTGGGACCCTCCAAGCCAGGCCAGGGATATAATCTCCTGGTGTGACATTTGCTAAGGCCATTGAAAAAGCTCAGTATTAGGGTGGGAGTGTCCCGATTTTCCAGGTACCATCTGTCATGGCTTCCCTTTGCTAGGATAGGGAATTCCCCGACCCCTTGTGCTTCCCAGGTGAGGCAATGCCCCATCCTGCTCCGTGGGCTACACCCACTGTCTGACAAGCCCCATTGAGATGAACCTGGTACCTCAGTTGGAAATGCAGAAATCACCCATCTTCTGCGTCGCTCATGCTGGGAGCTGCAGATTGGAGCTGTTCCTATTCGGCCATCTTGGAACCTCCTCTTCTTTTCTTTTTAGATGGAGTTTTGCTCTTGTTGCCCAGGCTGGAGTGCAATGGTGCGATCTCAGCTCACTGCAACCTCTGCCTCCTGGGTTCAAGAGATTCTCCTGTCTCAGCCTCCTGAATAGCTGGGATTACAGGTGCATGTCACCACGCCTGGCTAATTTTTGTATTTTTAGTAAAGACTAGGTTTCACCATATTGGTCAGGCTGGTCTCAAAATCCTGACCTCAGTTGATCAGCCTGCCTTGGCCTCCCAAATTGCTAGGATTACAGGCGTGAGCCACTGTGCCTGGCCGATCTGATGGTTTTATAAAGGGTGCCTGGCCGATCTGACAGTTTCATAAAGAGCAGTTCCCCTGCACATGCTCTCTTGCCTGCCACCATGTAAGGCATGTCTTTGCTCCTTCTCTGCCTCCTGCCATGATTGTGAGGCCTCCCTAGCCAGTGAAACTGTGAGTCCATTAAACCTCTTTTTCATTATAAATTACCCAGTCTTGGGCATTTTTTCATAGCAATATGAAAATGAACTAATACATTGTCTTTCTTTTGTTAATGTTCTCTCTCAGACAACCGCTTGTCTTCTCATTTGATAGTGTCTTTCACAGAACAGAAGTTAATTTGTATTGTTTTTAGTACTAAGTTTCTAGTAATTTGTTACAGCAGTAATAAGAAACTAATACAGCAAATTATTTTAAAATGACCTAATTAAAATCTCTATTTAAACACCATAATGTATCAAAGAGTATCTTCTTAACTTAACCCAGGTGCACATTTCTCTGTTTCTCTGTAGGCATTTCTCAGCCAATAGTGTCAATTTCATGATGAGATGTTATTAACAAGAAGAATGCTTGAGGTTTGTAAATTTATTCTTGTCTTCCTTTTGCTTATCTTGGATATATTTGTAAATTGCTGATTTACCATATTAGTTTTGTTCCCAGACAACTTTTCATATTCTTGCTAATGTGCTAATTTTCATTCTGTACAAATGCAAAAGGAAAGAAATTTATCTGGACTTTATATCAAAATTACACTTTGAAGTAGCATGGACTACATTCCTAACCTTCTATTTTAATTTTTATATTGTTTGTTTCACTTTCAAATAGCATATTTATACTTTTGGTACAGAATATGCCAGAAATTCAACTTTCTAAAAAAAAAAGTTTCTTTGTTTTCTGTATGTACTTTTAATTACGGAAAATATTACTATTAGATATGCTTGTTGGTGTATTAAAATGGTTTGGTGTATTAAAATACTTTCAACCATAGTGAATATTTTAATGTTTAATATATAATAAAAACAGCAATAAAAATAACTGTCATTTAAACATATTATAACAGCTGGAAACACATGAGAACCTAAGCAGATATAAAAATTAGACACAGTATATCTAAATATATACTTTTTCTTTACTATACCAGTAAAATCTTATTATTTCAAGAAATAACTGATTAAGACTGGGAAAAAATACTTAAGGACACTTTCTGAGGCAGATCTAGGCAATTCTGTGAATTGAGAATTTGGTTTCCATCTCTATATTTTCTTTTACTTTCTTATCCCTTTAAGGTACCCTTTGGCACTCTCTTAACATGTTTTTCTACAGGATAAAAATCTGCTTCTGTCACACCTGTGCTTTAAAAAATTACTTACCACAAATTATATGCAGAACGCTGGACTCTATACAAACTATTAATAGTTCTAATCTACCCAGCCAACCTCATTTTTCACCACTGTTCCTATCCTTAACCTCTACTCTCCGTAATATAAAGTGACTCATTCTTCCCAGAACACACACTGTTTTCTCATTCTTACATGTACCCTCTTGAATGCACCTCTTTTCTTGTTTTCCTAGCAAATTACCATTAAATTCAACATCATTTGTCTGAAATTTTATTCTGTGAAAATTTCTTGATCTTTCCAAACATAATTAATGAGCATTTTCCCTAAATTCTATAGCATTGTAATCTACTCTGTTAAATTGTACTTTTACATGGTGCTGTTTACTACTTAATAAAATATTCTACCCCACTAGATCATTATCTCCTTGATATCAATAACTATATATATTCATGTTTGAATCTGTAATACCTAACAGTGGATCTTCTACCTCACAGACTGTCATTAAATGTTTTTAAAACTACCTGTACCTCCAGACTTTCCTCCCCCAATCTCATATTTGAGGTGTCATATCTAAAATATGAAATGAGATACGTGAACTCAGCACTCTACAGTGTCTCTCAAGGAAGTCTTACAAGAGATTCCTCATTAGGTTCATTCTATTTAATTCACTTTATATGTTCCTCTCCTTCCATTCACATCCAATAGGACTTGTACACACTAACTGCACAGGTTTTCTGAGTGAAATATTTCCATTTTCTTTGACTTAGCTTCTCTATAGATTTGACTTTCATTATTTTTATGTGTTATTATTATTATTATTAATAGAGACAAGATCTCACTGTGTTGCCCAGGCTGGTCTGGAACCCCTGGGCTGAAGCAGTTCTCCTGCCTTGGCCTCCCACAGTGCTAGGATTACACGTGTGAGCCACTGCACCTGGCCTCTATTGACTTTCAAGATGACTATTAGCTGAATATATAAGCAGTGCTTGTTTCCTAACAGAGGAAGCGAATTAAAATCTCCAGGTCTTTTCTCTATAATTTTATGCATGCTTTTTAACAGTGGCATTTTTTGAGGTTCTGCTATCGTTAGTATTGCCAAACCCATTTAGTTATTCTAGTACTGAGAGCTTCTAACCTGGCCGGGAGAGTCACATGGTGACTTGTGCATGAACTATTTGGAGTGAGCAAGTCCTTTGTACCATTCAAACAACAGTAAGTAGATGCCTATTCTGTACTTGTGGAGGCTTAGATAAAGAAACTCAGTGTCTGAAGGAAATTGGGTCAAATTGAATAAAAAGGCAAATTTGGCATTAGGAAACAAAATACTATGCTGACTTGTGCAAAAGGATAAAATATGCAGAAATACCATTGTTTTGTTTGTTTGTTTTGAGATGGAGTCGCACTCTGTCACCTAAGTTGGAGTGCAGTGGCATGATCTCAGCTCACTGCAACCTCCGCCTCTGGGGTTCAAGCGATTCTCCTGCTTCAGCCTCCCAAGTAGCTGGTAGTAAAACCAAATAATTCACTGATTTTCATTAAATTAGAATTTAAAATCACTTGAAATTTAAAAATCGTGACGGATTAGTTGACAATCAGTTGTGCTCAAAACATTACATTTTTCTAGAAAGAACGGAAGAAGGTGAGCCTGAGAAAGACAGCAGGAGTTACCAGTGAGATACTTAACAAGAAATGTGGCTTGCAAGGGTTTGTTAACCTTATCAGGTTCAGAAATATTTGACCACTCTAATAATAAACAATTCCCTCTAACTCTATTGCTTCACATTCTGGCTAGGATATACTGTTTTCCCGAGCCTCCTTTTCCTTACCCACTTAAAAGTAGTTCTCATCCAAATAGGAAATACATTATAATTTCATAAGTCCTCTGTAACAAACATCACGTTAAAACTGAAATTAGATCTCAAATTAAGCTGTTTATTTAAACTCTTCTCCCTTTAGCTTTATAGAGATGGTAAAGGTCACAGCTCTTGTTTAGTTGATGAGTTTTAATTTTACTTAAATTAACCTCAAAGTCTTTTGTTCAGATCAAAATTTCATTTGCTTTATGCGAACTTTTATATTGCTGCTTTAATTGATTTTTTTTTTTTTCCTGTAGCTATTACTCTTTGAAGTTGCTTTTATCCCGTGTGACTCTGGATTCACTTGAAATCTAAGAGATTGAGAAAACTGTTCATTATACTAGGTGCAGATTCAATCGTTTCTTCTGAAGTCAACTACATTCCACTTCCATCCTGTTTCCTCCTTTCTCAAACTTCCATACATTTTTGGTAGCAATTTATTCCTCATTTATTTATAAAGGAAGTGAAAATTTTCCTTTTAAAGGACTCTGAGAGGAGAGCTGAAAAATAATCTTTCAGGGAAACTTCATTTTTTGTTTTTGTTTTGTTGTTGAGACCGGGTCTTGCTTTGTCACCCAGGCTATAGTGCAGTGGCTTGATCATAGCTCACTGCAACCTTGAATTCCTGGGCTCCCACCTCAGCCTCCCAAGTAGCTCGGACCACAGGTATGCACTACCACAGCTTAGCTAAGTCATTAACATTTTTGCAGAGACAAGGTCGTACTTTGTTATCCAGGCTGATCTCAAACTCCTGGGCTCAAGTGATCCTCTCACCTTGGCCTCCCAAAATGCTGGGATTACAGGTGTGAGCTACTGCACCTGGCCAGCTTTCCATTTTTAAGATGATTTTAAGATGATATTAATAGTGAATAGAGGCAGTGGCTCTCACCTGTAATCCCAGCACTTTGGGAGGTTGAGACAGGTGGATGACCTGAGGTCAGGAGTTCAAGACCAGCCTGGCCAACATGGTGAAACCTAGTCTCTATAAAAATACAAAAATTAGCCAAGCATGACAGTGGGTGCCTGTAATCCCAGCTACTTGGGAAGCTAAGGCAGGAGAAACACTTGAACCCAGAAGGTGGAGGTTGCAGTGAGCCGAGATCGCGCCATTGCACTCCAGCCTGGGCAACAGAGTGAGATGCCATCTCAAAAAAAAAAAAAAAAATAGCGAATAGTGAAAACATACTAGTAAAATGGGAACAAACACCTTTTCTCAAAAGACAACATGTTGTCAAAGTTAATGGAGAATACATCTCTAACCACATTTATGAGTTATGAAAATATATTTTTTATTGTTTTAAAGAAGCCTTGAGATTAATTTCAAATAATTCTCTACTCAGAAAAATATGACCATTTAAAGTTATTTTTACATTTTCTAATATTTTATGTCTATTCTTCTCCTAGGATTTGTGAGGTTTATTATTTGTGTGTGTGTCTGTGTGTGTATGCATGTGTGTGTCTGTGTGTGTATGCATGTGTAATAAGTGAAATGAATATAAGTTTGAGCCTTACTGTCTGCCTGTCAGTAACTGTTCAGCTAATGGTAACTGTTCAGCTAATGTTAACCCGTCTTCTAAAACCGTCACTTAGTCCTCCTTTTCTCAACGGCTTCTCAGTTGGCTCCCATCATAACAACTGCTCTCAGGTAATAATAATGGTAGTGCTCCTTCATATAGTACTAAAATATAACAAATATTATCCTATCTGCCTTACATATATTAACTCATTTAACCCTCACAACTACCATAGGTGATTGGTACTTTCTTTCATCATCTTCATTTTATAGAAGAAAGTAAGTCACAGGGATGTTAAATAATTTTCTTCCTAAAGTTAATTTATGTTTTCTGTCATTTTCTGCCTAGGCAAAAGTCTATTCATTGTACATGGGGAACAAAAGATTCTTTCAAATGACACTGTCCTTAAGTGGAAATTGGATACCAGAAACACATCATATTTAATGCCTGTGTGCCTATAGCTCTCAGGATGTCAATGTTTATGTTTACATGACTAACTGGGGAGAGTTTGAAAAATAAACCTTAAAATCACATAGTTTATTCAGCTAAAATTAACAGCTTAATATCATAAAAATACGGCAGATGACTGTCATACATGTCAACAATACCTGTTAGCTCTGAATTTCACTTCTCAAGGCACAGACTAAAAACTTAGAATTATCTTTCTTCTAATTCTCTACAAAGTTATCTTTGACTATAATTTCCACAAAAGGGCATTTATTTGTGTAGTCTCTGTCTAGGGTATTCTATTACCTCAAAAAGTGTTGAATAGCAAAATACAACCTATCATTCCTTGACCAATAACATTTCTCCTTTTCAGAAATACACCTTCTCTACCTCTTGAGTTCTTGCTATGGCTAACATCAGAGAATTTCTCTACTGCTCTCATATTATACTTGAAGGTTTTCATCCATAATGTTTCCTTCACTGTTCATGATGTTGACCCACCTTTCTGAGGAATCCAGGAAACCTCCAGACTAAATCACCATTACTTGTTTCTGAGTTAGTTTTACAGCTTCCATATCACTCTATAGTTACTAAGGCTGACAAGAATTGAGTCCAAAAAGACAATGAGCAAAACTGAACAGATTCAAATCTGACAGCGGTATGGCTAGCAATAGGCCCCCTCCATACCAAACAAAATGTTGTAAGCAAGCACCTTGTTTTGATTCAGCCTAACAAACAGCCATTGAGAATTTTCAATCTGTGAAAAAAGAAGTATTAACTTTGGGTATCAAAGAAGTAACCATATCATAAGGAAGCACGATCACTTACTCCCTTGAGAAAACTCCACAATTTTCTGAATCTGTTTTCTTCATGTAAATTATATTATAGAACTATGAAAATTAAATTCAATAAATAATATTTTACATTTATTCTGTGGTACCTACTAGGCAATCCATCCATATATATATAAGAGGAATAAATGTAAACAAGTTACAAATTTGTAAAGCTGTCAGTTATCTACATTCATATTTTCTCTCCCTTCTGCCCTCCTCTGTCTCTTTCTCTCTCACTTTCTCACAAAGCAAGTGCTTATGGTAAGCTGACAGAGTGAATCCAATGTCACTGCATTATTTTGAAAGTCCCGAGAAGAGCCCCCACTTCGAAATGGGTAAAATTGTCTCCAGAGGGCCATTTTTCTCTTCACCTGTACATGTATTTATTTTGTGAAATTCAGATCATTTGTAAGCATGGGTTTTTACACTATCTTTTTCACTTAAAGCATATTGTAGTAAAAATATGAACAATTATCCCCCATTTTTATATATTATTCCATAAATAAATTGTGTTATTTCTGAAATTTACATGTAGTAACTTTTTTGGTATACAGTTCTGAGTTTTAACACATACATAGACTCATGCAAAAAATCACAATCAGGAAATAGAACACTTTCTTCACTTCTCAAATTGTCCTTATGCTATCTTTTCATAGTTAATTCCTCTTCTATCCCTAGCATGTGGAAACTACTGACCTGTTCTTTGTTCATACAGCTTTGCCTTTCCTAGAATGTCCTATAAATGAAATCATACATGAAATATATAACATTTTGAGACTGGTTTCTTTTACTCACCATGGTGTATTTGAGATTCGTCTACATTGCTGTATGTACTAATGTGTGTTCCTTTTAACTGCTAAGTAGTATTTCATTGTATGGATATACCATAGCTTGTTTATTCATTCAGATATTGAAGAACATATGGGCTCTTCCCAGCACGTAGCAATTATGAATAGAGCTGATACCAACATTTGTGTAGAGATTTTTGTGCAAGTGTAACTTTTTATTTCTCTAAGGTGAATATTAAGGAATGGGCTTACTGGTTTACAGCAGATTTTGAGATTCCTAACATCCATGTGTTTTCTTCTCATCTTCGCTTTATGTAGAATCTCTTTCTTTATGACTCACAACATGCTTGAGTTAATAGACATTTTTCTTTCATGCCAAGCCCCAGTGTACCCGTTAGCCTGTCTTTATTTTATTTATCTGATAGGAAATTTGGTCAAACTACTTATAAAGGAACCACAATTTGTCAATAGGTCTCTAAGAACCCAAAATGGACAATTGATATTTGGTTAATCTAGCTCCAGTTTACACATCTAACAAGTAATCAAGCTAATGTTCAAACCTAGTCTACCTTCAGAGCACTCACACTTAAGTACAGAACATTGACTTTCTGTTAATAGTGATCATTATCATAGCGAAGCAGATGAACTCAGAAAGATGTATACATTTTAGTAGTTTAAATTTCCTTAGAAAACTATAGATTATACAATTTTGTATATTGATTATATAATTTTGCAGGAAATTTCTACAGTCAATGTGTTCATCTTTTTTCATATGGACTTCAAAGTGAACTCTACCTCAATTTTTCCTTCAGAAGTAATTTACAAGACTATTACTCTTAAATGCTTCAGTAATATCGTGATAATATGATTGATTCAAAAAGGAAAATTAAGATTTTCTTAACTATAAAGGCCATGCTTATTGGTGCACACTGCAAAAATAGCTCTTTTCCCATCTCTATCCTTAAAGACAGTGAAGCTCAAGATCATTGATTAAAAACTCCTTTTGATTAGCAAGTAGTCCCTGGCAAGCATAACTGAGACCTCTTTATCACTGACACTGATTCCACAGTGGCATAACACCCCTAAATATTTAATATCATTACTAAACTTCAGCAGCCTTTTTTTCAAAACATTGTAATAGTGACTTGTGAAAATAAAAAAATAAATATTTCGATGAGGTATGTTTGTTGTGACGAGTCTTGAAAGGAAAAGAAGTAAATGTATATTTTATGTTGCCAAATAAATACTAGGAATATACAAAGAAAAGAACTGCAACTCTCATAGGCTCTTGGAAATTCATTTGTCAGTGTTTGCTTTTCGAAAAGCCTATTTAGAAAATGTTTCATTTATAAGACAGCCATTGATGTTGCAAAAGCATTAGCTGAAAATCTATCCATCCACATAGATCGCTTTCCAAGTGCATTTAAAATAAAATTTGACTTTTACTTGGCTTTTCAGAGCAAGGTTTTATAGTGGAGTAAATCTCTAGTTAGCAGTTTCTACCATTTATTGGGAAAATGATTCATACTTAAAAATATACTCAAAGCAAGGCTCCTTACTGGTCAAGAACAAATAGACCACGGCAGGGCTATCACAGGGCTGCATCAGTGTTTTCTGTCTGACTCATTTTACAAAATCACAAGGTGTAATGGTGAGAAGTAAAATATGGCCTAGTTTTCAGAGGCTTACACAGGAGGGGTGAGCCCATGGATCGAGAGGGGCGCACCTCTCTTCCCTTTCTACTGGCTGTATCTGTGCCTGCCCAGATAAGAAGCCTCCCCAATGGGCCAGCTTTAAGGTTTCTAATCTGTTCAGGAAAGAGTATTAATAAAAATAAAGATTTGCATCAGCTTAATATGTATAAAACAGTTGGGTTAGGCTGAGAGCAAAATTCACTAATTTCATAGATAAAAACTTATAAGTTCAAAAGGATTTAGTACTCTCAAATTAGAATCTACAGAAAATAGCTCACTTTAATATTAGTAATTTTCAACCTTTTTGTCTAGTAGCTGATGAGATAAACTTGCTCCAGTATTATAGATAATCTTGTCCCTTAAAAATGTCCTGGAAAAGGTATGTGGATTGATTACTGAATTACATATGAGGTGAAGATGATTAGAGTTAACTTTGAAAATTATTTAACTACTACTGCATTCTTAGACAGAAATTCTAGCAAAGGTTTCTATACCCACAGTGGTGAATTTGGGATGATTATAACACACTTGAAAATTTATGATTGAGAGGTATTATTTCTTTTTCTAATTTTTAGTATCATTACAGATATTTAATTCCCTCTAGAGACTACCACTAGATTATCATTTAAATTACCCACTGAATTGCATATAGGAAAGCAATAACTAATGTTATTTTTAACACTTAGCATAATTGTTTATATCATTTCAATTCACTTGAATAAGGAAACATTAAAAGTATAATAAACATAGCTTTAGATAGAAGCAATTTCTATATTAAAGTTATGTAACAGAAACATCTGACTTTTACTTGGCCTTAATATATTGTACATTTTCAATAAAAATGATTATTTCCAACTTACAGTTATGAATCACTACCTTTAAGCAATTATCATATCTTATGTACCCTGGGAGCCACACAGTAGCATAAGATGCAAGGGCATGAGATATAGCTGATAGACAAGTTACATAAACACTCAGAGGCAAATAGTCATTCAAGACAAAATTTAGACTATAGACAGTAAATGTTAAAGAAATGAAAAGTAGATCAACCCTTCCCTTTGATATGATATGATTAGAAAAGTCTTCTAAGAACTGGTGAGATTGGACTTGGCCCTTAAAGAAGAAGACAGTGTCTGATAAGCAGAAATATTGAAAATCGGGGCCGGGCGTGGTGGCTCACGCCTGTAATCCCAGCACTTTGGGAGGCCGAGGCGGGCGGATCACGAGGTCAGGAGATCGAGACCATCCCGGCTAAAAAACGGTGAAACCCCGTCTCTACTAAAAATACAAAAAATTAGCCGGGCGTAGTGGCGGGCGCCTGTAGTCCCAGCTACTTGGGAGGCTGAGGCAGGAGAATGGCGTGAACCCGGGAGGCGGAGCTTGCAGTGAGCCGAGATCCCGCCACTGCACTCCAGCCTGGGCGACAGAGCGAGACTCCGTCTCAAAAAAAAAAAAAAAAAAAAAAAAAAAGAAAATCGGGTGCCTCCAGATTGATAACACATAGCTTGATGATGGATGTTGTTTAGATCAGGGTAGATGATACTATAATAGAAAAGATGAAAATTTCAATAATAACACAATAATGCTTTATTTGTCACTCATAGTGAGTCTGATGCAGTTCATGCTGTCTACTTTCTTATAGATACGTTATCTGAAGTATATGACTCACAGGTATTTGGGCAGAAGTGATCACAGGACCTGACAACTGCAAACAAGGCTGGGATAAATCAGAGGTGCACTTAGAAAGCTGATGGTCAATCCTGGCTAACATGGTGAAACGCCGTCTCTACCAAAAGTACAAAAAATTAGCCGGGTGAGGTGGTGGGCGCCTGTAGTCCCAGCTACTCAAGAGGCTGAGGCAGGAGAATGGCGTGAACCCGGGGGGCAGAGCCTACAGTGAGCCGAGATGGCGACACTGCACTCCAGCCTGGGCGACGGCGAGACTCCGTACTCAAAAAAAAAAAAAAAAAAGAAAGCTGATGGTCATTAATTCTCTCTAAAATAGGTAGGCGCTATTAAGGAGAAATAAAAGAAAATCTGAAAAAGGGATATGGATGTCAGATTATACAGTACTTTGAATATCAGAGTTTGCATTTCATCTTGTTAATGGACAAGTGTTAATCTCAAACAACTGTTATGTATTGAAATCACAAAGCCCAAAATATGATCATTCAGAAGACACATATAAAAAGAAAATGTGAGCAGGAATTTAAAAAAATAATACCTGAGTCATTAGAGATGGGAATACACAAGATGATATAGACAACTACTTATGTTTTGCTTCTTCAGAACTGAATTTATATGTTTAGTTGTATGCGTCCTGCCTCTTCACCCTTCCTCCAACACTAGTTTGTATTTGAAATTCAATAATTATACATTGAGAAGCAAATATGTACTAGGAGATGCTGTAGGTTTTTGGGATGCACTAGTGAAAGAAAATGAAAAATGTCTCTGCCTTAGTGCAGCTTACATTCTGACATGTTCTATTCTTTCACATATCTAGATTTTGAAGGAGTACAAGATAGCACAATCTTCAATATACTGCTCCTTTTAAGAGAAACCTAACCATATGCCCCATATGCATCAAGCAATCTTCACCACAGAGGCAGGGCATCTCCTACAGCTTATATCAATGCCCGTGTGATATAGTTTGGATGCAAATCTCTAACCAAATCTCGTGTTCAAGCCAAATCTCACATTAAAATGTGATCCCCAATGTTGGAAGGAGGTCTAGTGGGAGGTGCTTGAGTCATGGGGGTGGATCCCTCATGAACGGCTTAGTGCCATTCTTTGGTAATGACTGAGTTCTCACTCCACTAGGTTCAAGGGATAGCTGGTTGTTTAAATGATACCACACCTCCTCCTCTCTCTTTTGCTCTCTCACCGTGTGACTCTCTTTTTGCCTTCTCCCATGACTGTAAGCTTCCTGAGGCCCTCACGAGAAGCCAAGCAGATGCTGTGCCATGCTTGTACAGCCTGCAGAATCATGAGCCAAATAAACCTCTTTTCTTTTACATTATGCAGCTCAGGTATTTCTTTATAGCAGTTCAAAATGGACTAACACACTAGGTTCTGTATCGAGTACTCACGGTAACACAAAAATCATTAAGCAGGTGGAGAAAAGCAGTCTCCTGTTCCCTAAAATGCTGAGCTGATAGAATTTGAAGTTCTTAGCCCACACCTCCATAAAAGCCTAACCAGAGCTGCATTTTCTATGAGGACAAGAGGAATTCACTTTCTCAATTCAATTTATTTACACATATCTTCAATATTCATTAACCACCAACCATAAAGTAGATAATGTGCTACAGACAAGGAAAAAAATACAAATAAAACAACAACAAAGACAGCAGAAAACACCCCACAATAAACCAACAAAAACAAAATTAATGTGGTTGCCTGCTCTTAAGGAGTACACTATTCAGTAACTCCCTGTCTTCTAATAAATGGCAGTGATAAGTAGGCTGCAGTGCCATGAAATGGGGTATTGGAGGCCTGTTTGTGAAATTTCTCCCCAAGCCTTAGGCATTGTGGGATTCAGGTAAGCAAAAGTGTTTAATGAATAAGTGTTCAAATGTTGCCACAAACTCTATAATGTATAAGCAAGGAACCTAAAACCACGAATGACCTTCTCAGATTCATTCCATTTCGAGTGGCCAGTCATAATAATATATATGTCAATGAATGGGAATGTATATTGTCTTATTAATATGATATTGTATAAATCATGTCCAACAAGTACAGTGGGTTAGTTGAAATACTTTGTTGCATCTTTATGTACTTTAAAACTAGTTTAGGGGCTTATAAATAACAGGATCTCCATAAAGGTCTGATCAGTGCAAGAATGGAACAGAAAATGGGAATTATGGGTTTGAATGTAACACACTCTTTGTGACGTGACTACCTCCCTAGACATGTACCTCGTTGTATTAGTTCATTCTCACATTGCTGTAAGGAAATACCCAAGACTGGGTAATTAAAAGGAAGAAAGCTTTAATTGACTCACAGTTCAGCGTGGCTGGGGAGGCCTCAGGAAACTTACAATCACGGTAGAAGGCAAAGGGGAACCAAGGCACCTTCTTCACAGGGCAGGAGAATGTAGTGAGTGAGGTGGGGAATTGCCCTTTATAAAACTATCAGATCTCATGAGATTTATTCACTGTCATGAGAACAGTATGGAAAAACCTACCCACATGATTGAATTACCTCCAACCAGGTCCCTCTCATGACATGTGGCGATTATGGGAGCTACAAATCAAGATCAGATTTGGGTGGGAAAACAGCCAAACCATATTATTCTACCCCTGGCCCCTTGCAAATCTCATGCCTTCATATTTAAAATCAATCATGCCTTCCAAACAGTACCCCAAAGTCTTAACTCATTTCAGCATTAACTCAAAAGTCCAAGTTCAAAGTTTTGTCTGAGACAAGGCAAGTATCTTCTGCTTATGAGCCTGTAAAATCAAAAGCAAGTTAGTTACTTCCTAGATACAATGGGGGTACAGGCATTGGATAAATACGCCAGTTCCAAATGGAAGAAATTAGCCAAAACAAAGGGGCCACAGGCCCCATGCAACTCTGAAATCCAATAAGGCAGTCATTAAACCTTAAAGCTCCAAAATGATCTCCTTTGGCTCCATGTCTTACGTCCAAGTCCCAGTGATGCAAGAAGTGGGCTCCCATGGTCTTGGACAGCTCCACCCCTGTGGCTTTGCAGGGTACAGCTCCCTATTCTAGCTGCTTTTACAGGCTGGCATTGAGTGTCTGCAACTTTTCCAGGCTCGCAGTGCAAGCTGTCAGTGGATCTAATATTCTGGGGTCTGGAGGACAGTGGCCCTCTTTTCACAGCTCCACTTGGCAGTAGCCCATTGAGGACTCTGTGTGGGGGCTCCAACTTCACATTTCCCTTCTGTACTATGCTAGCAGAAGTTCTCTGTAAGGGCTGTGCCCCGCAGCATACCTCTGCCTGGACATCCAGGCATTTCCATACATCCTCTGAAATCTAGGTTGAGGTTCTAAAACTTCAATTCTTGACTTCTGTGCACTTGCAGGCTCAACACAATTTGGAAGCTGCAAAAGCTTGGGGCTTGCACCCTCTGAAGCAACAGCCTGAGCTGTATATTAGTCTGTTTTAGCCATGGCTGAGACACAGGGCTCCAAGTCTTGAAACTGCATAATGCAGCAATGCCCTGGGCCTGGCCTATGAAATGAGTTTTTCCTCCTAGGCTTCTCCACTTGTGATGGGAGAAGCTGCTGTGAAGACTTGCCCTGGAGACATTTTCCCCATTGTCTTGGTAATTAACATTTGGCTCCTGATTACTTGTGCAAATTTCTGCAGCTGGCTTGAATTTCTCCTCAGAAAATGGGTTTTTCTTTTCTACTGCATTGTCAGGCTGCAAAAGTTTTTGAACTTTTATGCTGTGCTTCCCTTTTAAATATAATTTCCAATTCCAAACCTTATCTTTGTGAATGAATATAACTGAATGCTTTTAAGAGCACCCAAGTCAAATCTTGAATGCCCTGCTACTTAGAAATTTCTTCCATCAGATACCCTAACTCATTTATCTCATGTTCAAATTTCCACAGATCTCTAGGGCAGGAGTCAAATGCTGCCAGTCTCTTTGCTAAAGCATAGCAAGAATCACCTTTGTTCGAGTTCCCAATAAGTTTCTCACCTCCATCTGAGACCACCTTAGCCTGGACTTTATTGTCCATATCACTATCAGCATTTTGGTCAAAATCTTTCAACAAATCTCTAGGAAGCTCCAAACTTTCCTACATCTTCCTGTCTTGAGCCCTAAAAACTGTTCCAACCTCTTTCTGTTAATGAGTTCCAAAGTTGCTTCCACATTTTTGGATGTTTTACAGCAGCACTCCACTACCCAGTATCAATTTACTGTATTTGTTCATTCTCACATTACAATGAGGAAATACCCGAGATCGGGTAATTTATAAAGGAGAGAGGTTTAATTGACTCACAGTTCAGCATAGCTGGGGAGGCCTCAGAAAACTTACAGTTATGGTGGAATACTAAGGGGAAGCAAGGCACCTTCTTCATAGGGTGGCAGAATGGAGTGTGTGAGTAGAGAAACTGCCCTTTATTAAACCATCAGATCTTATGAGACTTATTCACTATTAAGAGAACAGCATGGGAAAAACACCCCAATGATTCAGTTACCTCCCACCAGGTCCCTCCCATGACATGTGGAGATTATTGGAATTATAATTCAAAATGAGATTTGGGTGGGGACATAGCAAAACCATATCACTCATCTCACTTCATATTTTTACAAGTTGCATAATTTCAGTTAAAACACTCGTAATTTTTTAGAACCTTCTGGACTCCTAACAATAGAGCTTTTTCTAAAATCTCATCTCAACAGAGATATTTATGAAAGAAGAAAAATTGATAAAGTAAGGTCTTCCTGAGAAAATATAGTTATAAGCACCAATTGTTTGAGAAAGATAAATATACCTAATGTGTGTTCTGGGCAAATGAAAATAAATGCAGCCTCAGACAAGTAAGAAGGATTCTAGGGAGAAGTCTTAGACTCAAAAGAATAGGATAACAAAAGATCAATTTAAATACCTTTTTCAGTTGAGTTAATGAAAGTAAAAAGCATATCAACCATAGTTGTTCATAGAAGATGAAATGTGGATGAACAGATTAGGATGTCTTGAGTTAGTAGATTGTTCTGATTTGTATGTTGTTGTTTTCAATGCCAAACGTTTAATTTGAATTAAAAAGTAGGAATATAAATATATAATTAGCTTTGATGCTATAATTTGGACTGCAATGTAAAAAATCTAGCTTTAATGTTTTAGAAGCAAAGAGTATAATACTGATATATAATCCCTTATTCCACTTTAGTGAGTCTGTATTCACTAGAGGAGTAGAAGTGAGGAAATTATTGCCAATAACAAAAAAACAGTAATGTGTTAGAGAGAGAAACTGTATCTTCAAAATTCATGCTAGTAAAGGGATAATTATAGAGTTGTTAGGAAATTCTTATTAAAAATAAAATATGAAACCTAGAATAACCAGCATAATATTGAATGAGAGCAAAGTCAGAGGTCAAATGGCACCAGACTTCAAAAGTTGCTATAAAGCTATAGTAATTAAGATGGTGTAGTATGAACAAAACTAGAGACAAATAGATAAAAAATATAAAATACAGAGCCCCCAAATAGACCCACATAAATATAGTCCACATAAATATACTCAACAAGAGTAAAGGCAATTAAATTTTAAAAGTGTAGTCATTTAAACAAATTTTTCTGGAAAAAAAATTAACATTCACATGTAAAAGGTGAATCTAGTCAAACAGATTTTTCATCTTTCGCAAAAATTAACTCAAAGTACATCTCTAAATGCAAGATTAAAAACTATAAATCTTACAGAAAATAACAAAGAAGAAAATTTAGGGGACCTTTTGTTTGGTGATGACTTTAGATACAACACCAAAAGCTGTCTAGGAAAAAAATTGTTAAATTGGGCTTCATTAAAATTAAAAACTTCTTCTCTATCAAAAACACTGTTAACATATTGAAAAGACAAGAAACATCTGGTAAAAAAAATCTTTGCAAACAGTTGTCTGATAAATAATTGGCATCTAAAATATACAAAAAACTTAAAACTGAAGAATAAGAAAACAAACAAAAACTGGGCAAAAGTTCTCAATAGATACCTCACTGAAGAAGATGTACAGATGGCAAATAAGCATATGAAAAAAATGTTCAACATCTTATGTCACTAGGGAATTGAAGTTAAAATAATGCCATATCATATTGCTACATACCTATTAGATACAATCCAAAATGTTGACAGCAACAAAGGGTTTTGAGAACGCGGAGTCACAGGAACTCTCTGTCATTGCTAGTGAGAATGCAAAATGTTTTAGCCACTTTAGAAGGTAATTTGGGAGTTTGTTACAAAACCAAACATGCCATACAATCCAGTGATTATGCTCCTTGATTTTTATCCAAATGAATTTGGATAACTATGACCTATACACAATTCATCAATGTTTATAGCAGCTTTAGTCATAACTGATAACAACTGAAAACAATCAAGATGTTTTCAGTAGATCACTGTATAAAGAACTTTGGTACACTGAAATACTACTCAGTAATAAAAAAATCAAATCAAATCAAATCTATCAAGCCTTGAAAAACATGAAGAAAACTTAAATGGATACTGCTAAGTGACAGAAAGCAATCTGAAAATGTTACATACTATATAATAGTCTAACTAGATAACAGTTCTGGAAAAGGCAAAACTGAAAATGTGAAAAGAGTAGGGATTATCTGACATTGAGGAGAAGGAGAGAGAAACAGTCAAACCACAGAACATTTTAGGTCAGTGAAACTATTTGTATTAGTCTGTTCTCACACTGCTATAAATAAATACCTGAGATTAGGTAATTAATAAAGAAAAGAAGTTTAATTGGCTCACGGTTCTAGAGGTCATACAGGAAGTATATAGCAGCTTCTTCTGGGGAGGCCTGAGGAAACTTACAGTCATGGCAGAAGGTAAAGGGAAAGCAGGCTCATCTTACATGGCCTGACCAGGAGCGAGAGAGAGAGGAGGGAGGTGCTACACACTTTTAAAACTATCAGATATTGGATATAACTCAGTCATTCACTATCACAAGAACGACACTGACGTTATGGTGCCAAGACATTTATGAGAACTCTGCCCCTATGATCTAATCACTTCCCATCAGTTCCCACCTCTAACAATTGGGATTACAATTTGACATGAGATTTAGGTGGGAACACAATCCAAACCTATCATTTTGACTCTGCCCTCCCACAAAATCACTTGTCTTTCTCACATTACAAAATACAATCATACCTTCCAACAGTCCCCCAAAGTCTTAACTCATTCCAGCATTAACTCAAAGCCCAAAATCTCATCTGAGACAAGTCTAGTCCCTTCTGCCTACGAGCCTGTAAAATAAAAAACAAGTTAGTTATTTCCAAGATACAATGGAGATAAAGGAATTGGGTAAATATTCTCATTCCAAAAAGGTGAAATGGCCAAAAGAAAGGGGTTGCAGGCCCCATGCAAGCCTGAAACACAGCAGGACAGCCATTTAATGTTAAAGCTCCAAAATAATCTCCTTTGACTTCATATCCCACATCCAGGGAACACTGAGGTGAGGGGTAGTTTCTCAAAGCCTTAGGAAACCCTGCCTCTGTGACCTTGCAGAGTTCAGTCTCTGTGGCTGCTTTTATGGGTTGGTATTGAGTGTCTGTGGCTGCTCCAGGTGTATGGTGCAAGCTGTCAGTGGATATTCCATTCTGGGGTCTGGATGACAATGACCTTCTCACAATTACACTAGGCAGTGCTCCTGTGTAGGGGCTCCAACCCCACTATTTCCCCTCTGCACTGCCCTAGTGGAGGTTCTTCATGCAGGCTCTGTCCCTGTAGCAGGCTTCTGCCTGGACATCCAGGATTTTTCATACAACTTGTGAAATCTAGGTGGAGGCTCCCAAGCCTCAACTTTTGCACTCTGTGCTCCCTGAGGCTTAACACCACATGGAAGCTGACAAGGCTTAGAGCTTGCACCCTCTGAAGCAGCAGCCTGAGCTGAGCCCCTTTGAACCACAGATGAAACTAGAGGGTACCATACAGAAAGTCAGTATGAATTACCTTAAATATGAAAACTTGAGTCTAATAGAACAGCTTAAGTGGCTACCAATATGACTTTGCTGAACATGGAGTTGAGAACAGGTGCACAGTACCTCACAATTATATATTACTTATGCTAGTCAGATTAATAGATGTAAATAATCTGAACAGAATAGATAATAGTAAAATGATAAGTGATGAGTTTTGAGTATTTATAAATTTTGTATATAGTTATAGACTTATAAATTTACATAATTAATTTTAATAATTACTCCACTTAACAATTGACTTACAGAACTTTTGCAAATATAAAAACCAAGTTCTCATGGGTTTATAGAGCCAGTATAAGCTTGCTTTAAACTCCACTAAAAGGTTAAATAACTTGCTAAAGGAGATCATGTAAATAATGTGAAGTGTGTGACTGTACCATGCTCACAACAACTACATCAGAGAGCTGCTTATTATTATGCCCATATTATAAATGAGGAAACAACTATGAAGAGGTTAATCACTTTTCACACAGAAGGACAATGACAGAGATGCTGTTCAAATCTACATGGTTCCAGAGTCTCTGCTCCAAGCCCCTAGATGAGAACACATCTCAGTGTATCACAATTCAGCAAGAAAATATAAACATTGTAAGGACAAAAATCTCTCCACTTCATTGTAACCAATCATCTGTTACTTATGGAAAAAATGATATGTGAAATATACATTTATGCCAGTGTTTCTCTCTAGGCAATTTCACGAACATTCAACACACTGGGCCATTTGATCTTAAAAATCCTACTTGTCCTCATTTCATAAATCACAAAACTGAGTACTCAGTCAATAAATGGTTTATCCAAGTTGTAGCTAGGAATTGATGAGACCAAAATTTAGCTCAGGATTTATTTAAGAAATGTCAATTCCATAGAAAAACTCAGTTCTACAATGTTGTGTTTAAAGCCTGAAGAAATCGTATAAAAATGATAACACAGACCTAGATTATTCCTGAATGTGTCAGGCCTACGACAAGAAATGTTTCCTTATTGGGAAGGAAACAAGAAACAAAGAAGTAAGGAAGAGTTCAATAGCTGCTACTACCCGAACCCTCCTCTCAGACTGCTTCAGGCACAAGTCCACCCACACCCTGAGACTCTGGCCTGATTTCCTGTACTGTGCACCCTCAGTACTCTTAGCCACTGCTCCACCATCAACCTAATCTCCAGAGTAATATGCTGCCTTTTTAATCATAAAATCAATGGGAAAATACAATTCGGCATTTTTTTCAAATTCTAAACTAAACCTCAGTGTTATTTTTATTCACCATTTACAGTCCTCTTTAATCTTATTAAAAAACAAAAAGTTCAATGCTTCTTCTCCTAACTAGAAATTTTAGAACCTGGGACACGTAATGCATCACGAGTAATAAAGTTTCATGAGAACCTTAAGTGTGTCTTGCTTTTCTTCTACTATGGCATGCAGTATTGTAGAATTTAGATTTAACTACTAAGAATGTAAACAGCTAGACAGCAAGCTCCACAAGGGAAGGAATATTTGTCTGTTTTGTTTACCAGGTTGCTTAACATAAAGTCTCTTCCATAGTAGAGGATCAATAAATATTTGTTAATTTTGTTAATATGGGAACACAGTGGATTAGAGGGCTCCAGAAGAGTATGATAATAAATGTTGTTGTTTTAATCACCACTAAGCTTGTGGTGATTTATTACGGTAGCAATAAAAAGCGAATACAATCGGCCCTGATGCAAAGAAAGCTAAGTAAATTCATTATGTTCTAGAAGAACCAGAGAGCCATTAAGTTTACTCTAGAAAATAATATCCTTATAAGACAGAGTCGGGATGGAACTCAACTCCTCCCATCAACGACCCTCGTGCTCCCACCAAGAAAGGAAGGACATCTAGTGCAAGCTGATGGGGGTGGGGACCTAGTGACCATTGGTGACCCCAAGTAGACCATCCAGACCTTTGACCATAAATCTTGCTCCAGGTGCCATGCCCACTGGTAATGGGGCATTAGAGAGATTAAGATAAGCAATGCCCCACCATAAATCTTACTTAAGACACTATACCCGCTGATTGTGGGAACTTGAGGCAACGAAAATAAGCAGATCCCACTTTAAATCTTACTCAAAGACATTAATACTGTCTCCTGTATGTATACAGACCAGAAGAATGACCAATCCTTTACCTTAGCTTCATTATAATACTAAAAATTACACCCAGGGGTGGAGATTTAACACACTAATGAGACATGGGACACATGAAGAAGTATGAAGAAGGATGTTATCCAACTGTGTGAGTACCAGAAGTTCCCCATCTCTAGATGCTTAAACATCATTCTCTTATCCCCTTTAAAATTACTCTGCTGATGCTCTTTGGAGAGCCAGCCAGATAATTTTCTCTCTCGTGCTGCCCCCTTTGTGTTTGAATATAATCACATAATAAAAGCTTTGGCTGGGAAACTTATTCAGCCCCCTGTCAATTTCTGTTAAATGAGAGTCAAGAACCTGTTGTCAGTAACACTTAAATGAACTTAGTTAGCTCAGATTGTTTTTTATGTATGTGTTCCAGAAATGGACAGTATAGGCAAGGCTGTAACTGTCGGCATTACTGCGAGAGATCAGTGAAACAACCGATCCTTTGTACTAAATAGAGACAATTATCACATCTTCTCCGAACATGTTTCTCTGATGTTACTGCCAACGGATAGAATCCAGTGGTCTTGGTTCTTAATTGGTCTCTAAGTGTAAGGAGTAAGCTAATAGGCAAACAGTCACTCCACTCCATCAATGTTCTTCAACATCAACCTATAATTTTGAGTGCATCTCTTGTTCTCTAAATTCTGCAAGAGCCCAAAAATAATTGGAAGCACCCCGTAAAGTTTTTCTTTGAGGCTAGTGATCTATATTCACTTCTTCAAACATTCCCAGATATTCTATTGTCAGTTATTTTAAAAAGATCTCTTTTTCTGATCAGAATAGTACTTTATAAATGAAACTGAGGTTCCTGGAAGTATAACGAATTGAAGTATTTCTTTTTTAAATAGGAGAATCTGCTCCTCAAATATAGGCAATCATTAGTTACTCCTTCAAATTATTTGATGATTACCCTTAATGCTTTTGCAACTAGCACTAAGCCAAGAGGTGCCAGCAAAATTAAGTAATCCAAGATTTGACAGAGACTGGTAAAGCCTCGGGCAGCTAGAAAGTTCATTTATCTTTCCCTTCCATTTTTCCTTAAATTGAGTTCATAATTTCTGCCAGGAGTGCTGTGAGAGTTAATTGAGTGTTAAAATGAAGAACTTCTTAGATAACCCTTGGAGCACTGTGGCATGGTATGTAACTTTCAATTCCGCTCTCCATTATTTAACCATATTCCGAGTAAAACAATGAATACGTCATACATTTTATATATCTACGTTAACATCTGTATTTATATATGAATTTTTAAACTGAATTCTCGCACTATACATTCTTTTCCTGCACAATAAATTACAACAGAAGTTTCTTTTATGGTATTTTTTTTCCAAGATGGAAGATTAAAGGCTTTCACCATGCCTTAGCCACTTGGAAAGAGCAAAATAGTGCATAAAGATCAACTCTGTGAGCTTTAATTCAAGAATGACAGTGGGAATCCACTGGGATCATGAGGGACACCCCAGAACACAGGGAAAATGCCAGCAAACAGCTCCTGTGACAGTATCCAGCTAATAAAAGGAGCGAAGTCCCAGAATGTCAGAGAGAGAGCCTCCCTCTATGACTCATCTTTTCACTAGGGATCCAAGCAACCCAGGAAGAGGGAAAACATTTTGTTTTTCCTAAGTCCTGGAACTAACTTGGGGAGGGGATTGGAGATGCAATGAGAAAAAGACACCAGGAAAACTTGCAGACATTTTCCCAAACCCAGGACCAAGGGCAGGATGCCATTTTTCATTTAGGTGCACACAAACTCAGCCATTCTTTGGTGACCCAGCATCATGGCCAGACAGACATTTTAGTCTCAGACCAGAGACCAAAACACCTGCTCTGGAGTGGGAGAGGGGATTCCACAGCCAGTAGGCACTATAATCCTGTTCTGTCTCGCCACAGGCCTGGGGTGGAAGGAGAGTTGCTACAGCTCCAGTTTCTCCTGGCTGGTGAGACTTGCAGCCAGGGCCAGCCTGGAAACTTAGAAATGGTCTGGGTATACTACTGCTGGATGCCCCAGCCTGCTCCCCTGAGATCGTGGTGCAGCGCTCTCTCTGCTCCATCACCAGAGAGGAATCCAGGCATTTGGAGCACCTGCTTGTTGCAGCCTGAGGTGCCCCACTCTTTATTAACATAGATCAAGGTCCAGCAGGGTCCTTTCCATTCTGTGCTCAGGAAGATCTTCAGTCATCTGGAATACTCACACTACTGGATTAGGAGTTTATGCCACCCACCATTCTTGTTCAGAGAATTCAGGGCCATAGAGATTTCCCAGATCCATTCCTAGGCACGCCTGTGGTCACTTGGTGGCCACCCACTGAATTCTCCCTTGCTGCTGGTGCTTGTGCCTGCCATTGAGGGATTTGGAGGCAGGCTTGACTGGTCTGGTCCAGCCCATCTTGGCCTCTGCCTCACTGGGGCTGTGCAGAGAACTCAGACCACTGTGCATGCCACGAATCAACCCCATCGCTTGAGGCAACAAAGAGTTTCTCCCAGTGAAAAAATTCAAGTACAAACCCAGCCATATTGGCCACTGCTGGCTTTTACCTGTAAGAACCATCTACGGGCTTGTAGGTCAAACTGCACAGCCCAATATAAAAACTACAGTCAGAGGGCATAGGGCTTTTGAGAAGTGTCTGTTCATATCCTCTGCCCACTTCCTGATGTAATTTTTTTTTCTAGTAAATTTGTTTAAGCTCCTTGTAAATTCTGGATATTAGGCCTTTGTCAGATGGGTAGATTGCAAAATTTGTCTCCTATTCTTTAGGTTGCCTGTTCACTCAGATGATAGTTTCTCTTGCTGTGCAGAAGCTCTTTAGTTTAATTAGGTCCCATTTGGCAACTTTGGCTTTTGTTGCAATTGCTTTCGGTGTTTTCGTCCTGAAGTCTTTGTCCATGCCTGTGTTCTGAATGGTATTGCCTAGGTTTTCTTCTAGGGTTTTTATGGTTTTGGGTTTTACATTTAAGTCTTTAATTCATCTTGAGTTAATTTTTGTCTAAGGTGTAAGGAAGGGGTCCAGGTTCAGTTTTCTGCATATGGCTAGCCAGTTTTCCCAGCACCATTTGCTGAATAGGAGATCCTTTCCCCATTGCTTGTCTTCTTCAGGTTTGTCGAAGATCGATGGTTGTAGATGTTATTTCTGAGGTCTCTGTTTCACTCCATTGGTCTATACATCTGTTTTGCTACCAGTACCATGCTGTTTTGGTTACTGTAGGCTTGTAGTATAGTTTAGAGTCAGGTAGCGTGATGCCTCCAGCTTTGTTCTTTTTGCTTAGGATTGTCTTGGCTATATGGGATCTTCTTTGATTCCATTTGAAATTTAAAATAGATTTTTCTAAGTCTGTGAAGAATGTCAATGGTAGTTTGATGTGAATAGCATTTAATCTGTAAATTACTTTGGGCAGTATGGCCATTTTCATTATATTGATTCTTCCTATCCATGAGGATAAAATGTTTTTTCTATTTGTTTGTGCTCTCTCTTATTTCCTTGAGCAGTGGTTTGTAGTTCTTCTTGGTCCTTCACATCCCTTGTTAGCTGTTTTCCTAGGTATTTTATTTTCTTTGTAGCAATTGTGAATGGGAGTTCATTCATTTATGCATCCAACAAACATATGAAGGAGAGCTCAACATCACTAATCATCAGAGAAATGCACATCAAAACCACAATGAGATATCATCTCATGCCAGTCATAATGGTGATTATTAAAAAGTCAGGAAACAATAGATGCTGGCAAGCGTGTGGAGAAATAGGAACACTTTTACACTGTTGGTGGGAATGTAAATTAGTTCAACCATTGCGGAAGACAGTATGGCAATTCCTCAAGGATCTAAAATCAGAAATACCATTTGACCCAGCAATCTCATTACTGGGTATATATCCAAAGGAATATAAATCATTCTACTATAAAGACACATAGACATGTATGTTTATTGCAGGACTATTTATACCAGCAAAGACATAGAACCAACCCAAATGCCCATCAATGATAGACCGGATAAAGAAAATATAGTACATATACACCATGGAATACTATGTAGCCATATAAAGGAATCAGATAATGTCCTTTGCAGGGACAGGGATGAAGTTGGAAGCCATCATCCTCAGCAATCTAACACTGGAGCAGAAAACAAAACACCACCTGTTCTCACTCACAAGTGAGAGTTGAACAATGAGAAGACATGGAGACAGAGAGGGAAACAACACACACCAGGGCCTGTATGGGGTGGGGGGTGAGAGGAGGAAACTTGGAGGATGGTTCAGTAGGTGCAGCAAACCACCATGGCACACATATACCTGTGTAACAAACCTGCACATTCTGCATGTGTATCCCATTTTTTCAGAAGAAATTTTAAAAAATAAAAAACAAACAAAAAACAGAAGTGCATAGGGCTACATAGAAACAAAACTAAAAGATCTCACCCATTATTCTCCATAGTCACATCCCCTAGGAAAGGATGAAAGGGAAAGGGAAAGAAAAAAAATAATATTATAGAGAAAGAAAGAAAGAAAAAGAAAAACTCCTACCTGCAAGAAAATAAATACAAAAATTAAAGGTGCCAGCATCTACAGATGAGAAAAAATCAGCACAAGAATTCTGTCCAGTGGAAGAATTCTGGAACTGTGAAAACTCTGAAGGTAGTGACACCATCAAAGGATCACACTAGCTCTCCAGCAATGCTAACTAAAATGGGAACTCAGAAATGACAGATAAAGAATTTAAAGCATGGATTGCAAGGAAGCTCAATGAGATCCACGACAAGATTGAAAATCAACACAAGGAAACTTCAAAGCAATCCAGGAAATAAAGGAAGAGATAAACATCCTAAAAAAATTAATCAGAGCTTCTGGAATTGAAAAAGTCACTTAAGAAATTTCAAAATACAATTGAAAGCTTTAACAATAGACTGGATGAAGCATCAGAAAGAATTTCAAAGCTTAAAGAATGGCCTTTGAAATTAAAACAGACAAAAAGAAAGAAAAAAAAAATTTTAGATGAACAATCTTTGAGAAACATGACATTATGTAAAGTGATCAAATTTATGAATTATTATAGCATTCCTGAAAGAGAAGGAGAAAAAGCAAATAACCTGGGAAACATATTTGAAGAATAATTCAAGAAAAATCTCTCTAATCTTGCTAGAGATGTTGACATCCTGATACAAGAAATCCAGAGACCATCTACAAAGTAAACACCACCAAGGCAGATAGTCATGAGACTGTTCAAGTCCAATGCTTAAGAAAAAAATCACAAAGGCAGCTAGAGAAAAAGGTCAGACCACATACAAAGGAAATCCCATCAAGGTAACAGTGAACATTTCAACAAAAACCTACAAACCTGGACAGACTAGGGATCTATTTTTTTAGCATTTTTAAAGCCAAGAAATTCCAGCCAAGAAGTTCATCTTCCACTAAACTAAGCTTCATAAACAAAAGAGAAGTAAAATATTTTTTAAAGAATCAAGTGCTGAGGGAATTCATTACCTGTATACCAACCTTATAAGAGATGGTTCTAAACATAGAAATAAAAGATGTATACCTACTACTAAAAAACACCCTTAAGTACATAGCTCACAGACTCTATAAAGCAACCACACAATAGAAATTACAAAGCAACCAGCTAACAACTTTACAATAGAATCAAAATCTCACAGAGCAATATTAACCTTGAATGTAATACTCTGAATACCGCACTTAAAAGACAGACTGGCAAGTTGGATAGAAAACAAGACTTCTGTCTTCAAGAGACCCATCTCACACATAATGATATGCATACGCTCAAAGTCAAGGGTTGGAGAAAGATCTACCATGCAAACAGAAAAGTAAAAAGAGGAAGGGTTACTACTGTTATTTCAGATAAAGTAGACTTTAAACCAATTAAAAAATGGCAAAGATAAGCATTACATAATGACAAAGGGTTCGATTCAATAAGAAAACTTAACTATTCAAAATCTACATGCATTCAACATTTGAACACCCAGACTCATAAGCCAAGTACTTCTTAACCTATAAAATGACTTAGGAAACCACACAAAAATAGTGGGGGACTTCAACACTCAGTTGACAACATTAGACAGATCATCAAGGCAGAAAACTAACAAAGATATTCTGGGCTTAAATTTGACACTTGGCCAACTGGACCTAATAGAAATCCACACAGTACTCCATCCATCAACCACAGAATACACACTCTGCCCATCTCTACGTGAAACGCACTCTAATATTGAACACACCTTTGGCCGTAAAACAAATCTCAATAAATATAAAAAAATCAAAATGATACCAATCATACTCTCAGACCACAGTGGAATAAAAATTGTAATCACTAGCAAGATGATCTCTCAAAACCGCACAATTACATGGAAATTAAACAACTTTCTCCTGAATGACTTTTGATTAAAACAAGAAATTAAAGCAGAAATCAAAAAAATTATTGAAATAAATGAAAACAGAAACATAAGATGCCAAAATCTCTGGGATGCAGCAAAAAATAGTGTTAAGAGAAACAGTTATAGCACCAAATGCCTACCTGCAAAAGTTAGAAAGGTCTCAAATTAACAATCTTGACTGGGCACAGTGGCTCAAGCCTGTAATCTCAGCACTTTGAGAGGCCGAGGTGGGGGGGATCACAAGTTCAGGCATTCAACACCAGCCTATCCAACATAGTAAAGCCCTGTCTCTACTAAAAATACAAAAAATTAGCCAGGTGTGGTGGCGGGTGCCTGTTATCCCAGCTATTCGGGAGGCTGAGGCAGGAGAATCGCTTGAACCTGGGAGGCGGAGGTTGCAGTGAGCCGAGATCACGCCACTGCACTCCAGCCTGGGTGACAGTGCAAGACTCTGTCTTAAAAAAGAAAAAAAAAATCTAACATCAAACCTGTAGGAACTAAACAAACAAACAAACGAAAAAAACCCAAAAAACAAAGTATCCCCCAAGCTAGCAGAAGAAAAGAAAGTCAGAGCAGAGCTGCATGAAATTGAGACACAAAACTGCATACAAAGAATCAACAAAAGTAAATGTTGGTTCATTAAAAGGATAAACAAGATTGATAGACTGCTAGCTAGATTAACAAAGAAAACAAGAGAAGATTCAAATAGGCATAATCAGAAGTGAAAAAGATGACATCGCAAACAATCCTACAGAAATACAAAAGCTCCTCAGAGACTACTATGAACACTTCTATGTACAAGAACTAGAAATTCTACAGGAAACAGATAAATTTCTGGAAACACACAATCTTCAAAGATTGAATCAGGAATAAATTAAAACCCTAAACAGACCAAAACCTTGAACAGACCAATACGAGTTTTGAGGTTGAAGCAGTAATTTTAAAAACTTCCTATTTAAAAAAGCCCTGGACAAGAGGGATTCACAGCCAAATTTTACCAGATGTGCAAAGAAGAGCTGGTACCAATACTACCGAAATATTCCAAAAAGAATTGACGAGGAGGGACTCCTCCCTAACTCATTCTACAAAGCCAGCAACATCCTGATACGAAAACCTGGCAAAGACACAGTGAAAAAAAACTACAGGCCAACACCCCTGATAAACATAGAAGCAAAAATCCTCAACAAAATACTAGCAAACTGAATCCAACAGCATATCAAAAAGCTAGTTCATCGTGAGCAAGCAGGCTTCATTCCTGGGATATAAGGTTGGTTCAACATACACACATAAATAAACATGATTCACCACATAAACAGAATTAAAAACAAGAGCCATGTGATCATCTTATTAGAAGCTTTTACTGAAAAAAAAAAGCTTTTTGAATTAAAAAGCTTATTGAAATAAAGCTTTTAATGAAAAAGCTTTCAATGAAATTAAACATCCTTTCATGATAAAAATCCCGAAGAGCCTGGGCACGGTGGCTCAAGCCTGTAATCCCAACATTTTGGGAGGCCGAAGCAGGCAGATCACGAGGTCAGGAGTTCAAGACCAGCCTGGCCAACATGGTGAAACCCTGTCTCTACTAAAAATACAAAAATTAGCTGGGCATCGTGGTGGGTGCCTGTATTCCTGGCTACTCAGGAGGCTGAGGCAGGAGAATTGCTTGAACTGGGACCCGGAAGGTGGAGGTTTCAGTGAGTTGAGATCATGCCCCTGCACTCCAGCCTGGGCTACAGAGGGAGACTCCATCTCCAAAAAAAAGAAAAAAAAAGTCCTCAAGAAAGTAGGCATCAGAGGAACATAGCTCACAAAATAAGAGTCACCTATGGCAACCCCAAGGCCAACATCATATTGAATGGACAAAAGCCTGAAGCATTCCCTTAAGAACTGGAACAGGGACAAGAACTAGACACGGATGACCACTCTCACCACTCCTATTCAACATAGTACTGGAAGTGCTAGCCCGGCAATCAGGCAAGAGAAAGAAATAAAATGCATCCAAATAGAAAAAGAAGAAGTCAAACTATCTTTCTATGTAGATAATATGTTTCTGTACCTTGAAAACCCTTTTAAAGACTGCCAAAGACTCCCAGAACTGATAAATGACTTCAGTAAAGTTTTGGGATACAAAATCAGTGTACAAATACCAGTGTCATTTCTATACACTAATAACATTCAAGCTTACAGCCATATCAAGAATGCAATCCCATTTATAACCAAGGAGGTGAAAGATCACTACAAGGAAAACTATAAAACACTCTTGAAATAAATTATAAATGACACAAACAAGTGAAAAAATGGTCCATGCTTATGAATTGGAAAAATCAATATGTTAAAATGGCCATACTTCCCAAAGCCATCTACAGATTCAACAGTATTCCTATCAAATTATCAATGTCATTTTCTCAGAACTAGAAAAAAACTATTCTAAAATTCATATGGAACCAAAGAAGAGCCTGAATAACCAAAGCAATCCTAAGCAAAAAGAACAAAGCTGGAGGCATCAAATTACCTGACTTCAAACTACACTATAAGGCCACAGTAACCAAAACAGCATGGTACTGGTACAAGAACAAGACCAATGAAACTGAATAGAGAAACCAGAAATAAAGCCACATTCCTCCAGCCATCTGATCTTCAACAAAGTCAACAAAAGTAAGGAATGGGGAAAGAAATATTTATTCAAAAACGGTGCTGGAATAGTGGGCCAGGCATATGCAGAAGAAAAAACTGGACTCTTCTCTGTCATTATGTACAAATATTAACTCAAGATGGACTAAAGATTTAAATATAAGACCTAAATGGATAAGAATTCTAGAAGAAAATCTAGGAAACACCATTCTGGACATCAGCCTTGGCAAAGAAATTTTGGCTAAGTACTCAAAAGCAATTGCAACAAAAACAAAAATTGACAAGTGGGATCTAATTAAACTAAAGAACTTCTGCACAACAAAAGAAACTATCAAGAGAGTAATCAGGCAACCTACAAAATAGGAGACAATATTTGCAAACTATGTATCTGACAAATGTCTAATATCCAGAATATATAAGGAATTTAACAAGCAAAAAATGTATAATTCCATTAAAAATAGGCAAAAGACATGAACAGATAGTTCTCAAAAGAAGACATAGAAGCAGCCAACAAGCTTATGAAAAAACGCTCAACATCCCTCATTATCAGAGAACTGCAAATCAAAACCACAATAAGAAACCATCTCACACGAGTCAGAATGGTTATTGCTAAAAAGTCAAAAAATAACAGATGGTAGTTAGGTAGCAGAGAAAAGGGAGTGCTTATACACTACTGATAGGAATATAAATCAGTTCAGTTACTGTGAAAAGCTTAAGTTTTTTATGTTCTTTCTCAAAGAACTTAGAACTATCATTTACCCAATAATCCTATTACTGGGTATATATCCAAAAGAAAATAAATTGTTCTATTGAAAAGACACATGCACTCACATGCTCAATGCAGCACTATTCACAGTAGCGAACACATGGAATCAATTCAGGTGCCCATCAATGGTGGACTAGATAAAGAAAATGTGGTACATATACACCATAGACTACTATGCAGCCATAAAATAGAATGAAATTATGTCCTTTGCAGCAACATGGATGCAGTTGGAGGTCATTATCCTAAGTAAATTAATGCAGGAACAGAAACCCAAATACCACATGTTCTCACTTATAAGTGAGAGCTAAACATTAGGTACTCAGCGTCATACAGATGGGAACAATAGAAACTGCGGACTAGTAGAGGGGAAAGGGAGGGATAGGAGCAAAGACTGAAAAAACTAACTGCTGGATACTACCCTCAGTAACTGGATGATGGGATCATACCTCAAATCTTTGCATCATGCTGTATACCCAGATAACAAATCTGCCTGTGTACCCACTGAATCTAAAGTAAAAGTTGAAAAAAAGGTTTATTTTGTAATTTGATATATTCAATGTGCTTTTTAAATGTACATCAAATCTTACCATTACCTAAAAGCAACAAATAAAACAAAAAAATACAATCTTACCAGGTATTTCTTGCCAAGAAAAAAAGCTTAGGATAGTAAAATAATAATGGTAATAGTTATAATAAAATAAAATTTATATTTCGTCTTCTTTTATAGTTTGCATTTAATCATCTATCTTTTTAATCAACTTTATTGAGATATACATTGTATATAATAAAATGCACATATTGTTTAGTTTAATAAGTTTTAGCAAATATATACACTCAGGCAACCATGACCAAACTCAAGTTAGAGAATAGTTCTGTAAATCCAGAAGTCCCTCTTCTGCCCCTTTGCAATAAATTTCTACCTCCTTCTCCCCCTAGGTATCCTCTGAGCACTTCACTATCATTATGTGTTTGCTTGTCTTTTTCAGAATATTACATCAAGATACCAGGCAATATCTGGATTTTTAATTCAACATAATATCTCAGAGATTAATTCATGTTGTTGAAGACATTAGTAGTGTATCTATTTCTATTCCTCAATGGCATTATATTGCATATATATATATATGTATACACACACACACACTAGTTTGTCTTTATTTACTCACCTGTTGGATATTTGATTGGATATTTGAATTTCCAGTTTTGGTCTAATGTGAATAAAGCTGCTCAGAGTACTCCTGTACAAGTCTTTTTGTGACATAAGTTTTGATTTTTCTCCATACATAACTAGAAGTGTAACCACTAGATCTTACAGTTAGTGCGTGTTTAACTTTATGAGATACCACCCAACTTGTTTTCAAAGTGTAGCAGTTTACATTCTTACCAGAAATGTCTGAACATTCCAGTGGCTTTATATTCTGGTTGATACTTGATACGGTCAGGCTTTTCAATTTTAGCCATTCAAGTCGGTACACAGTCATATTTCATTGTGATTTTATTTAAAATCTTCCTGATGACTAATAATGTTTCCATGTGATTTTTTGCCATAAAAATATGTGGTGCTTTTTTTCTTTCATTTGAGCCAGAGTCTCTCTCTGTTACCCAGGCTGGAGTGCAGTGGCACTATCATAGTACACTGTAACCTCTAATCCCTGGGCTCTAGTGATCCTCCCACCTCAGCCTCCCAAGTAGCTAGGACCACAGGCACCAGCCTCCACACCTGTTAATTATTTTTAACATTTTTTGTAGAGATGGGATCTCATTATGTTGCCTAGGCTGTTCCTAAACACCTGGCCTCAAGCGATCCTCCCTTCTTAGCCTCCCAGTCCTCTGGGATGTGAGCCACTGCATCCTGCCTTGTTCTTCTATAGTGTTCAAATCATTTGTCCATCTTTCCAATGGGGTGGTTTGTTATCTTAAATTTTATAGGTATTTTGCATTATTTAGTCAGACATATGTATTTTAAATATTTTATCTCAATGTGTGGCTTACCTTTTCAATTTGTATGGAATTCAACTTATTTCTCTCATTATTTGTGCTTTTTATGCCCTTAAAATTTTGTCTTACCCCAAAGTGGCAAACATTTTCTCTGTTTTATTGTCATAGCTTTTACATTTAAAGCTATGATCCATTTTAAGTTAATATTTGTGCATGGTGTGAGGTACAGGTAAAGATCTATTTTTCTAAATGGAAATATAATTGTTTTAATACTATCTGTTGAAAAGACAGTTGTTTCTCTATTGTTTACCTTCAAGCCTTTGTCAAAGTTAATTGACCACATATTTCCAGACTCTCCTTTCTGTTCTATTGATAATATGTCTATATTTATGCCATTAGTACACTGTCTTTCTTACTCAAGAATAAGTCATAAAATCAGTAGCATAAGTGCTACAACTTTATTACTTTTTCAAAATTTCATTTTCTATTCTAGGCCCTTTATACTTCCTTATACATGTTAGAATTTGCTTGAACCTGTGTGGATCAGTCAAAGATTTGAGGAAAGTTTATATACAGATGTAGGAGCTTACTTGCTGTGTAATTCCTTTGTTACTGGAATCTCCACTAAATTTCTAACTGCTCTGGTAGTCCTGAACTCTGTCTTCTGCCATGTCAGGCCACTAAGTCTTCAGCTTTCTGTCACCCGAGGTATATATGGTTGAGCCTTGCACTGTCACTCAGGCAGTGCACTTGCGAGTTCTGTCTTTCAAGGGTAGATTCCTCTCTGAATTGTGTCCCTTTTGTTCACCAGGCTTTGGATTCCCATCTACATAGAAAGTTTTAGGGGAAGTCAGGGGATATGGGCAGAGATTATACTCATATTTTAGTTCTCACCTCATTTGTTGGTCTCTCACTTCCTGAAATTTCCCCTAAATTGTCATTTATCCTGCCAGCCCTCAACTCTGCACTGTGCCACCTCCAGCTCCAAAGGATGTAATTTTCTATTGCCTTAGCTGAGGTGATTGGAGATCAACCTCTGGAAAGAAAGCCAAAAGATCTCAGTTTTGATCTGTTTCAATTGAGTCTTTCAAGGGTAAACTTATCTCCAATTTCTCCCTGGTTTTGGTTACTTTACACTGTTTTTAAAAATAATAATAAAACACGAACACATGTGCATATACATATATAAACATATCTATAATATTTAGGTTATATACACACATATGTTTTGTTTTTATTCCATATTACTATCTACTGAGAAGAGATTATCCTAACTACCTCACTTTAACATTAACTGAAGCTGCCTCCAGATCCATTTTTAAATGTTTTGGGCCCAGGCATCATTACTGATAGGGCTTTCACTTATGCAACTTGATAATTTCAGATCTAATATAAATATTAGACTGATAGATAAATATCAAAATATTAAGGGTGTATATGTGCCACAAAAATCAGTTTCCACTTTAGAATTACAGAAGCAATGAAATAATGAGAACATAATGAAATATTAGAGAAAACTGATTTGAATGCCCTAGGAAATTGAGGCTTACAAAAGCTAAATACCATTTAAATGTTATACGTACAAACTGTAATAATACCAGATTTTAGGCTCTTTCATTCTCTATCTGGTCTACTTTTAATACACCACAACAATGATACCATACCTTCTATCTGCACTGTTAGTTTCAGTCCATGACAATGTAAAGTTCAGATAATAGATAAACTTAGTGAGCTTTAAGTTCTCTTACAATCTGGACAGACTCCAAGTTCATCATCTCAGTAAAAGAAAAAGCTGACCCACAGTAGTACTGAATATATGAGAAAGGATGACTATCCTTTGCAATTGCCTTTGTAATTTCATTAGGCTGTCTTTGTAATCTCATTAGGCTGTCTTCATATATTTCAGTTTCTTTCCATGTTGAAAATTTTCTGTGTAGTGTAATGTAATGAAGACTATCGACTTCGAAATTAGTTAGACATGGGTTATAATCTCTATTCCACTTCTTATAAGCTATGGAATCTTGAAAATCTGCCTAATCTCCCTGAGGTCTAATTTTCTTAACAAAAAAATACAATGACTAAATACATTTCATAACATTATTTCAAGAGTTAAATGAAAGCATATTACAACCCAAATATAATAGGGATTCCACTTGGCTCAATCTTTGCATCATGGTTGTTTCATTAAATTTATTGAATTTTAAAATACTACTTACAGTTCTCAAAAGAAGACACATATATTCTTTATGCACAGCAAAACATCCATCAGTATCTCTGTCACTTTCAATATCATCTAAATAGATATAAACACCTCTTCAAATTATTTATATTACCCATTTTTATCACCAAGAAGAGGTTCATTCTCACCTATGTTTCACGTTTCTTTCTGGCTCTGTTTTTTTCTTCTGTCCTGCAAGTAATATTATCTTTCTTATTCAAATGTCTCATCATCATTCTTATGTCCTGTCATTAATGTATTCATTGCCCAATTCTTCCTTATACATCTATATTAATGATACTGTCCAATACATAATTGTCCTTTTATAGTGAATGTCTTAGTCAGCTTGGGCTGCCATAATAAAACACCATAAACCAAGTGGCTTCAATAACAGAAATATTTATTTTCTTTACTGTTCTTGAGTCTACAGTGTCAAGATCAGGCTGCCAGCATGATTGGATTCTTGTGAGCACTCTCTTCCTTGATTTCAGGTAGCTGCCTTCTTGCTATGTCCTCACATGACTTTTCCTATGAGTGTGCATAGGCAGAGAAAAAATTTATATCTCTCTCTCTCTTCCAATTCCTGCTTTGATAGAGATGGGATCTTGCTATGTTGCTCAGGCTAGAGTACAGTGGCTACTCAAAGAAATGATCAAAGCACACTGCAGCCTTAAACTCCTGGGCTCAAGCAATCCTCCTGCCTCAGCCTCCTGAGTAGCTGGGACTACAGGTGCGTGCGAATGTGCCTGGCTTCTCTTCTAATTCTTATAAGGCCACTAATGCCATCATAATATTATAGGACCAACAGCTTCATATGCCCTCTGCACAGTAACATATCCGTACACTGAGACAGCAGGGTTGCAGCAGAAAAAGTGTTTAAAGATCACAGGACAGCCAAGCAAGGAGATGGCAGAAAACACCAAAATCCATCTCCCCAAGGAATATACTGATCTGGGGTTTTTAAGAAAATTGTGGAGGGTATGGGACTGGCAAATTGGGATCATTGATTGGTCAGGGTAAGGAGAATGAAATGATTAGGATGTGAAAACTGCATTCTTTGTGTATGTAAGCTTTTTGTTGGGTCATTCAGATCAGCTGATGTCAGCAGTTTCATTGGTATGCAGGACCTAAAAGAATATTTCAACGGGAAAAATTAACATTTTATAATGTTCAAGTTTTCATCAATAGAGCAGTTAAGGAGAACTATAATCTATGGTCTATATGATTCTAAGACAACAGGCAAACACTATGAGAAAGCAGGTCAGAGAGAAAGTTGATGTAATGATTAATGCTACATATGCTCAGGCTTGGTTTATTTTCATTTTGTCCCCTCCCTTCTCTGATTAATTTTATAAAGTTTAGAGGGATGGTTTCAATAAGGGCTCCACCCTCATCTAACCTCCCATAGGTCCCGTCTCTAAATACTATTATATTGGAGATTAGGTCTTCAACATACAAATTTTGAGGGGATACATTCAGTCCACAATGGTGAGTAGGTGGGAATTGAACAAGCAACTAACAAGCAAAGGAGGTAGTAAACTCTCTCAAAAATAACTTACCCTTGTTTCTCTTTTCACTAAATTAGCTGGGCTTTTAGAGGTCATGGTATTGAAGAATTTCCAAGCATGTTGGCATGTTGAGCACTGAAGCCTGTTTAAATATGATAGCATTAAGGCAACTGACTTCTGTGTGTGCTTACCCCACTCCTTTGCACAGTAGAGCCCATTTAAAACTTATCTGAAGACTTCTGGATTTATTGATAGCTATGCTGCATGAAATAATTCACCCAGGAGTAGATTAATAACATTCTGACTAATCTTTTATATCCTTGTAATCCACCCCTTCCATATATGACTGTTATGCAACAAGATTTGACAAAGCCCAAAGGTAACTCCATTGCAGAGAATGTACAACTTTTATGAATACATGTCACAGAAGAGTCTCATATGATCTTCTATACGTAAAAGAAAAAGTCATATTTCCTGGTTTTATTTTTGTTCACATAGTCGCTCTTTCTAATTCTTTATATGAGGGTTTTAAGATTTATCCCTCAAAACGTGTAAGGGTAGCTAAGAACACAAATACAGAAATGTTAACTGCCAAAACGTGTGGAGCTAGGGGAATATGATAAATGATGTGTTATGTTTCTAACTACCACTTTTTTCCTTTTGTTAACAATACCTGGAAATGCCGTGGTATTGAAAATGACATTTAAAAGATAATATTATAAAAATAACGTTCATTAAAGTTTATTATCTGTCCAATGAATCAAAGACCATATATTGGGTGAAGAAGCAGGAAAAAAACTGCTTTTGTTCTTAATATTGGATCTTGCTATATAAATAAATATTTGTGTGAATTAAGGTTAAGCCACTTAACCTTCCTGGGATTCAGTTCTCTCATCTATAAAATAAAAGTCAAATGGGAGGGCAGGATTATATAAGCTCTAAGGCTTCTTGTGTCATATAATTTTGTCTTCATAATTTCACACATTTTTTCATTACTAAGGTTAAAAGGAACCCATGAGAGGAAGGTTAATGCATGTTAAATTTTAAGAATATATAAAATACATACTAGTTGGCCTTATACATGGTCTAACAATCTTCTTTCTGGGCTCCCCATATGTGATTCTGACCCAGATACAACTGGCTCTAAAATCATTTTGTGACAAACTTTTTATTCTCTCTCTTGCTTTGATCTACTTTTACTCATCTAAAGTGAGCAGTGAATGCTGGGAAGGAAGGGCTGTCTCACTGAACAGAAGGAAGACAGAGCAGACTCTGGAGTCTTGAAAGATTGTGTAATTCTAGCACAATGAAGCAGAGACTGTGCCCCTAACTCTGCTGTGGGAAGCTCTGCTCTGATTCCCTTACCTTTCACAGAGTTTCAAAATATTTTGTCCTTCACCCCCAAACCTTACCACATAGCAAATGGTTATTATCCCTTTTTGTAAAATTCCTGTTTCATATAAAAAATAAAAATATCAAGAAACTGTTGCCTATGTTTTTTCAGATAATTACATTTATGAACAGTACAAAGTTCATGTATTAGTCCTGCTTTACTGTTGGTGGAAAAACTTTAAAATACTTATTTTTATGATAGAAGAGTAGAAAACACACACATTTTAAATTCCCATTCTCCTTCAGGATGCATCCATTTGACTGCCCAGGTCTCTCAATGTCTAACTTTCCCATAACTCCACAATGCACTGAATAGAATATGCTCCATCTGTTTAGTTTTGTAATTTGTTCTTGTCTCAGGCTATACCTAATAAATATCATGCACTGGATCTTGAAGGAAATAGGGGAAAACATCTTAAAGTTAATTCTGGAAAAATTGGCCCTCACCCACCATTATGTCCATACATTTAATTACCTGAAGTAGTTAAAAAGAGAGAGAGAGTTGATGGAAAGTTACAAGTTGCTTTTTTTTAAGAATGTGATTATGAATTCATTTGCATCACTTCTGCTGACATATCATTAGGTAGGGTTTAATTGCTTGGCTTTAATTTTACTAGTAGCATCATTAAGGAAATGTAGAGAGTAGATGGGGGATCACGTCCTCAGACAAATCCATCTAACTAGGAGGAAGAAAGAATGAATGTTCTAGATAACTAGTAGTACCTGCCATAGTTACTAAAATATTTTTTTCGAATCATGTTTTTAACATTATATGTTCCTACCATGTGGCTCCAAACATAGCATTATTGTAAAATGTCTGCAAAAAAAATTTTGTAAACATTAGTGCTAGAATCAGAATTGGTTATTATCAGTCAATCCAAACCGCAGTCACTTCAGTTTGAGGCAGTTTTGTATTGTGCAATTAATTTGGGATTCACACTGGCAATCCTGGATATGATACCTTAATCAATCACTCTTTGTTGTATTTTGGGCAAGCCGTTTAATGTTGTAAAACTTCAGGATGAAAATGCAGTCTAACTCATAGAATCCACTGGAAGAATTCAAAATGACTAATATATAATTCCTGGTAAAGTATTTGTCTCACACGCCATGTGTGTTACCAATAAATGCTAGCTTTTATTATTTCATTATCAGGAACGCTCTAGCAAAGCTCTACCACTGACATATTTTACAAGTAGCTATTAGTTCTGGGAAGTGTTTTATCATTTTTAAAATTTATTAGGCAACATTTTAATTATTTGCCATAAGAAATTAGTTGAGAGACAATGAAAAACATTTGACCTTAGATAGGAGCGCAGAAATAGCAAGGAATGCTTCTTGTAGATGAGCAGTAGGGAGAAAGCAAGAAAAATACTATTTATATTTGTTTTACTTTTGCTTTATAACAAATTACCACAAACTTCACAGTTAAAAACAGCACTGATATATTATCTCACATTTTCTGCAGGTGTAAGTCCAGGCACAGCATGCCTGGATTCTTTGCTCAGGGACTCATAAAGTTACAATCAAGATGATGGCAGGAACTGCAATCTCATCTGAGCTTGGAGTCCTCTTCTAAGCTCACAGGTTATTGTCAGAATTAATTTCCTTGAGGGCGTATGATTGAAGTTCCCATTTTTTGGTAGTTTTTGGGTGGGGATCTGTCTCAGCTTCTAGAGACCACTCTGCCAGATGACCTCCTCCATGGGTCCCATCGCAACAGAGCTGTGACAACTTCTAGAACAACTGAACAGCAGCTCTCTGATGTCTTGCTTTTTTGCGCAAAGGACTCAGCTACCTGATCAAGTTAGTCCTACCCAAGATGATCTCCCTTTTGATAAACATCTCAAAGTCAAAAGATGTGTAACATAATCCCAAGAGTCACAAGAGTGTGATCCAATCATATTTTCAGGTTCTCACTGCTCTCAACAGGAGGAGACTCTATAAAGTGTGTACTCAGGGAATAGGAACCTTGGGGGCTATTACAGAATTCTGCCTATAAATTTTAAAATAAAGCTTAAATTATGCAAACATATATACACACTCTTAATTCAGGAACTATGCCTGCCAAAATTATAATGAGTATGTGCGCCCGTTATCAATTTATTGCCTTTCAGTTCCAAATTCATCCTTCATTTCCTGCTGTAAAGATAGAGTCGGACTCTTTAGATCATTTGCCAGCTGGCATGATGTTAAGCTTGGTCATTACAGGGCACTGGAGAGACACTGCAGGAGAAAGGGCTTTTCTTCTCTTCATTCTAGTGCTCCCTTACCAGGCTCCTGCAGCAAATATTTTTCCAGCACCAACTTTCTTTTGCATATGTTATCCCAGAGTCTTGCTCCTGCAAGGAACAGCTTCTTCAGTGCTTGGCTCCCACAGGGTACATTGGTTATCAGTACCCAATAACCAGCAGTTTCCTCTGGCACCCTTCAGATAGCTTTTTAGGAAGTGCCTCTAGTAAACTACTTCCCCCTATAACTCTTTCCCCAGACCCCCTCAGTTAGCATGCATGTGATTCCAGAGGTAGGGGACATTTCTGTGAACCACATCCCCCAGCACTCCAGAGGGCAGATTTCTAGCAAGTTCTGCCAGCACAGCACCTCAGCAACTTCTCCACCACCCAGGGAGCTGTAGCCGTATTCTGTCCAATGAAGACTGGATTGCAGTCCTGCAGGGAGAATGGTCATTCCTTGGGTGATTTATTTTATCCGTGGGTATAAAAGCTCATACTCAAAACATGACCATCAATGAATGGATAATTTCATTCACCATAATCTTTGAGGCAAGTCATAGGGCCAATTATACTGAAAAACCTACAGAATGATTTATTCAAGTAAAAGTAAAAAAGTTTCCTATTTTACTCTAACAAATGTGCTTCCTAGCTCCAATAAGTGACAACAATTCTCTGAAAAACTACTTTTGTATTTTTATGTATTAACCTTTCTACAAATGCTAGCTATATTTTATTTGCATGAAAGAAGAATAAAAAGCTTTATTAAGAATAAACTACAGATTTAGAAATTCAGAACTTGTTTATTATTGTTTATTCTGATATAGATACAGTCAAGCATTTGTGGTCTTCTCTAACTATTCTCGTATCACAGAACAAACAATAAAAATACCTGGTTTTACTTTGCTCTAGTAAACCAAATTTAATTTTCTTTCTGTGACCCTTGTGCCACAGACATATAGAAGAAATTAATAGCTCAATATTCTCCCTCCCTTAGTCATTACCCCCAGGTGACTCAGAAGAAAACAGTTAATTGATTAGATTTTCTAATAAAGTTAATATGCACTTTCCTTATCACCAAAGTTCATGAAGTGGAGTGGAAACATGGAAGAAATCAACTATTCCCTAGTCCAGTTTTTCTAAAGTTTAGCCCATTGAATAGCAGTTCTACAAGGCTGTTATTAAAAGAGTAACATGATTAAATAGACTTGTAAAACCTCGGTAAAAAAAATAGCTAGATGTTTTTACTACAAGACTTTTAGGGGCTTTAATGAGTTCAGGCCCTTGTGAGAATTTCAGACAGGGAGATATGGAATGCAACATTTACCAAACTTATTTGACCAAGAAATCCAACTTTTATAGAGCACATGTTGAAAACTGCTACTTCTTTCCAACTTACTTTACACATATAAGTAACCTGCATTCCCGAGAAGTGACTTATTGATTGTCACACATGTTTGTTGAAGAACTAGGACTGGAATCCAAGTTTGTATCTTGAAGCACAAATGCTTTGACCTCAACATGCATTCTCCAGCCCATTTTCTTCCAATTGGAGAAAACTCTAATCTCAAATCTTAAATTCTTATATAATATTATAATAGAAAAATGAATTTTACCATTTTTACTGTGAAAATTTTTTCATACTTGGGAAGAAAAAGAAAAAGGCTGATAATCGTTTCTTTAATTATGGAGGCTTTTTCTCTTTTTGCTTCTTTTTCTCTGTCTACTATAGTTCTTTTTCCTCTTAACATATTCTCTATGCTGCCACAGGGAAATATATATATATATAACCACATTACTTAAGACACAATATTAACCCTGGATAATGATTTATGTCATGGGTTTTTTCTATGTGGTAGATTAGTATGGTCATTATAATTCTTCTTCTTATTATTAATTTTTTTTTGAGGCGGAATCTCGCTCTGTTGCCCAGGCTGGAGTTCAAGGGCATGATCTTGGCTCACTGCAACCTCCACCTCCTGGGTTCAAGTGATTCTCCTGCCTTAGTCTCCTGAGTAGCTAGGACTACAGGCACCTGCCACCACGCCCAGCTCACTTTTGTATTTTTAGTAGAGATGGGGTTTCACCATGTTGGTCAGGCTGGTCTCAAACTCCGACCTCAAGTGATCTACCCGCCTTGGCTTCCCAAAGTGCTGGGCTTACAGGGGTAAGCCACTGCGCCCAGCCATTAAAATTACGCATAACATTGCACTAACATTTTTTACATAGCATCCTTATTAAATTACCACATGTATAGAAACCTTGTTTCATACCAACAGCTACCACTACTGTAGGTAATATTATTACTGACTTTTACAAATTAGGAAAATCAGACTTAACATGTTTAACTAACTTACCTAAGGTTTCACTACTAATTTTTGCTGAGTTCAATTTAAACAGTGGAAGTGGGAATACAGATACACACCTTTAACCACTCACTATGTGCTTGGCTGAGCTTTTAACTCTCCAGCAATTAAATGTCAAACTGCTGGTCAAACTGAGATGACATTTTGATACAGTCACAAAGAAGATTAAATACTAATTGCTACAATGATGCCTAACCTGCCCTTGACAGTGATTCATTCTCTTATACTCTGCCTCCTCTTGTACTCTGCTTTCTACAAAGTATCATTTTTATCTTGTCTCTCATAAATTTCACAGAAAGGTAACAGTTACAGTTAACATTGACAAACTCTGTATTGTGAGTGATCAAATGATCAATATTGAACTACACAATTAGTAAATATGACAATTTTAACTTTTATTTAATAGTCTACTAGTAGGAAGGAAAAAAATTGAACATGAGTACAATAGCTTATCCATACAAACAACGATTACTACTAAATTTAATAATATGAAAGAATTCAATGCCATAATTGAGCATTTGAGAAATGATAACTATTATTCCTATCAACTTATAAAAGGACTTTGGATTTAAAATGCAGTTATAACTTAGAATAACTAAAACATTTCATGCTGGTTATACTCAGAATTTAAAAGGCACTAATAGTAAAAAATTGTTTGGAGATAAAGAGCAGCTTAGAGATCTTTAACTGTAATATGAATTAAAAATTAGAGAAGAAAAAATCTATAATCACAAAGGATTATCATCTTTTCACTCTTTTCAAAAGACATATTTCTTATTTGATATTTGAAGTTAAATAATAAATTCCCCTTTGTCTTGATTGCAAGAACAACTGTTTTAATAGATTATGGAAGTTTCTATATTTTACTTTACTGTGGTAAAGGGTACCACATTTCTAATTTAAACATTTCCTTGTAAAGAAAGGATGAAGGGGAAAAGAGAGAACAGAAGGACATGAAAGTACAAGGCAAAATAATCAAGCCTTATTTCCATAAAATACTAGAAAGTTTCTTTTGTAAGAAAAAAAAAATAAAAGAAACAGTTACTGGTGCCTTAGTCCATCTTCTGCTGCTGTAACAGAATACCACAGACTGGGTAATTTATAAAGGATAGATGTTTATTTGGCTCATGGTTCTGGAGGATGGGATGTCTAAGAGCATGACAATAGTGTCTGCTAAGGGTCATCCCATGGTCAAAGACAAAAGACAGAAGCAAGTGCGTAAGGTACAGGGAGGCACCAGCAGCTGGACTCATTTTATTTCTTTATTTTTACTTTGCAAGGACAGGTCTCACTTTGTCGTCCAGGCTAGAGGGCAGTGGCAGCATCATGGCCCACTACAGCCTCTACCTCCTGGGCTCAAACCATCATCCCACTTCAGCCTCTAAAGTAGCTGGGACTACAGGCATGTGCCACCACACCCCACTAATTTTTTAACTTTGTGTAGAGACAGAGTCTCCCCATGTTGTCCAGGCTGATCTAAAACTCCTGGGTTCAAGCAATCCTCCTGCCTTGGCCTTCCAAGTGTTGAGACTACAGGTGTGAGCCACCATGTTCATCCTGGTCTCACTTTATAACAACCCACTTTTATAATGAATAACCTGCTCCCATGTTAATGACATTAATTCATTCAAGAGGGTTCTGCCCTCATGACCCAATCACCTCTTATTAAGCCCCACCACCCAACACTGTTGAATTGACAATTAAGTTTTCAACACATGAACTTTTAAGAGATGCACTCAAATCATAGAACTGAAATATGATTTTATTTTTATTTTTAATTCGACTGAAAATTAAAAAACAAACAAGAGCACATTCTTCTAAAGAAATAGAAGATGAAGAGATGGAAATAAATAAGAATCTCCAAATTACTTCAGAATCTCCAAATTAGGTCAGATTTTTTATTGTGTTATAGTTAAACATGTTAGGACAAAACCAAAATTTTTCTAAATATTTTTTTTATTTCCATAGGTTTTTAGGGAACGGGTGGTATTTTGTTACATGAGTAGGTTCTTTAGTGGTGATTTGTGAGAGATTTTGGTGCACCCATCGCCCGAGCAGTATACACTGAACCCAGTTTGTAGTCTTTTATCTCTCACCCGCTTCCCACCCTTTCCCAGAGTCCCCAAAGTCCATTGCATCATTGTTATGCCTTTGCATCCTCATAGCTTAGCTCCCACTTATAAGTGAGAAAATATGATGTTTGGTTTTCCATTCCTGAGTTACTTCACTTAGAATAATAGTCTCCAGTTTCACACAGGTTGTTGTGAATGCCATTAATTCATTCATTTTTATGGCTGAGTAGTATTCCATCATATATATATATACCACAGTTTCTTTACCCACTTCTTGATTGATGGGCATTTGGGCTGGTTCCACATTGTTACAATTGCAAATCGTGCTGCTATAAAGTTCTATAAAGATTTACATGCAATATAAGAACAACACAGATGTCAACAATACCTTACATAACAAATTTTAGTAATATCAATAGATTCTACGTTCAGCTCGGTAATAAATGAACTTTTGACCCCGGGAAGTCATTTTACATAATTAAGCCTCAGTTCTACTGCAATAAAATAGGGTATGAGGGCAGGAGACAATACATCTCTTAAATTTCTGAATAGCTCTGAAAAGATAAAGCAAGAAAAATTGCTGTAAATTTTACATTATCATCTCTATTCTCTTAGATTCTTTGATCATAATATTATATTTTGCTATATCATAAAATTTTCTATTGCTTGTTCCTACTGGCAAATATTCCTCATTCAATAAACTAAAATTTAAACAAGTAGTGATTAATTGACTAGTCAAGGTGCCTGAGACTGTCAAGAAACATAGCAGATTCAAAAACAGAGTGGGCTGAGTGCAGTGGCTCATGCCTCCAATCCCAGCACTTTGGGAGGCAGAGGTAGTCAAATTGCTGGAGCCCAGGAGTTTCAGACAAGCCTAAGCAACATGGTTAAACCCTGTCTCTACAAAAAAATACAAAAATTTGGCATGGTGGTGTGCACCTGTAATCCCAGCTACTTGGGAGGCTGAGGAGGACGGATTGCTTAAGCCAAGGAGGCGGAGGCTGCAGTGAGCCAAGATCATGTCACTGCACCCCAGCCTGAGCGACAGAGCAAGACTCCATCTCAAAACAAAACAAAACAAAACAAAAAAACCCAGAGTGAACAACACTTTCCAGTCTCAATGTTCTGACATAACTCTTAGAAAAATGAGAAAATACTAATAAACATAGCAATTAATGCAGAAGATAGTAATTAACCAAGTATCAAACTTATTGGCAGAGACAAACGTAAAAGTCTGAAAAGGATACACTGTGGTGAGATTGTTTCAAAGTATTAATTGATATGTTTTCCTCCTGCCTTATTGCCTACCCTCAACCATTAGTAGCTGGCATTTTGTCTTTCTGATTTTACCCTCAATGCCATTTTAATGAGCTGCTCTAGTTTTGTCTTATAAAAACTGTTGAGGGTTCATTGTGCATGAAAATTATACTATTACCCTGTTGACTTGGACCACTGACTTGTATAAGTAGCTCAGTGAAATCAAAACAAGTCCTGTCCCTCTTTTTGAAATGTATGAGTTACATGCATGTGTGTCTATTCTCCAGCCTACAAGTGAGGCTGAAGGAATGCATGCCTTCTGGGAGATATTTAGAAAATGCTGATGCACGAGCATAAAAATTTATTCTGTTTTTTTCTGACTCCCAATGGTTGCTTGACTTATGTCAGTAATGGATGGTGAATAGCAGGAAAGGAATAGTCAGAAAATTATATGTCTTTCCAAACTAATTGAAAACTCTGAGATTCTCCAAACAAAAATACTAATTTTTGTTCTGACTCTGCAATCATTGCTAATGATGCCATTGTGTTCATAGACTTGTCAAAAAATGGGATAGATTTCAAGAATAACTGTGCTCTGAAAGGAGGATATATTCTGATCTTTCTGAACTGATTCATGTTCATATAGCTGGATGCAGGTAGAAAGGGTAATGAATTATCACATATTTTTTTTTCAATCTTTTAAACCTAACATTTTAAAAATTGTTTTAAACACACGAAAACAAGTTCATAAATTATCTGAATAATGTAGAAGGTACATGAGTGAGACAATAAAGTTACCTCAAATAACTTGAAGCTTAAATGACCCTCTGAACAAAATTGTGCACAAACGAAATGGTTAATAACACATGTAGTAAATAAAGTGATTGTCAATGTATGTGGATGGCCAAAAAATTGTGAAGCCCCAATAAAATTATCAAAATATCCCAAGTGTTATCTCATGTAAGCAGAGTTAAAATGCATTTTTAGTAATTTGAAACCTCATTATCTACATTGCATTCTATCTAAAGAAAACGTACATAAATAAGAAAAAAAAAACACAGCCTAGAAGTTAGAAAAGGGAAGCTCAACAGCTGCAAGGTGTCACGGTTGCTCTGAAATAGTTCAGACTGAAAGACACCAAATCTGATGGGCAGTACACAGCCCTTAGCAACAAGACCTTGGTTTACAAAAAGAAATATATCATTGAGTGTCATCATGGTCTAAATGAAAAATCCCCTGTAATAATTTACCTTCCTCTACTTGTATCCTACAGTAGTTACTAAGCAACCTTACATTTATTAATTTAGTGATCATGAAAAGTATATCCTAAATAGGGACTCTGAACATTGTAGTTAATAGAAAAGAATGATCTTCATTGTCAATTAATACATTGGACTTACTGCTTATTAACCAGGATCTTGTAAGCTTATTTTTAATGTGAGTTGGCATCTTCAATCATTATGGAGTATTCTAATAGACCAACAATGAATCATGAATAAATTATGCAAAATATTTGCATGCAATGGTGCTATCCTCTCCTAATAAACCAAATTCATTTTGGTCAACATACAGTATATTTTACTGAAGTGCAGTATATATATAAAATATTCACAAATCCACATAAACAGACGAAGTTTTTATTAAGTTTAATGTACTGAATATGACCCTGTAATAAGAAGCCATAAACAGAAAACTATTGTCACTCTGAAGTTCTCACCTGAAACTTTAAATGCTAAAAGTTTGAGGTGATTGACATGATAACTACCCTGATTTGATCTTTATACAATGTATGCACATATGAAAACATCACACGTATGAAAACATCCTTTATACATGTATTATGTGTCAATCATGAACACAATTTTTAAAAATCAGAAGAAAGTTAAAAATAGAAGAAAGAAATTTTTACTAGCTTATGAAAGATTACATCATCTTTTCAAGCATTCTTTTAGTAACTTTTGTTAGAAAATTACAAAATCCGTAATAAAAATTCATTTACAGTTAATAGTGTTTAAAAGATGACCTTAATTTTTAGACCATAGCTGTTAAAAAGTGAGTTCTTTAATCTGAAAATAGGTGCTGGGGAGACTTACGCATAATACAGGAAAGGAAAGTTCCCAAGGTATTTGTATCCCATCTTTATATGACCAAAGAATACATTTCCAAATCAAACTCATCATTTGTAGCTATGTTCCTGTAATTCTTAAAACAAAATACAAAACAAATGGTTTCTGAAGTCAATCTAAAACAATTGTGACCCCTCTTGTTTATAACTATTTGCACATTTGGGTTTTCATTACAAAATTCAGTATCATTAAGAAATAAACATTCTTTAAGTATATACTGATAAAGACCACTAAGCTCCATATCGAGACATGATCTGAAAATAATGCTTCTTCTGCTTTTGAAGAAATAGAGTATCCAGTAAATTGTGGCAACAAAAAGTGTAAAAGCATTGATTAAGTAGCACTTTCCTTTGCCTCTAAGTTTTCTTGTAAACTAGACAAGGGAATTTTACCTATTTCTCACTTCCATTTTGTATAGTTATATGCATTATGGCTGAGAATACAGTGTACAAATAATACAATGATATTTATACAATGATATGTTAACATTAAAAGAATATTTTTAAAAATGGTTTGCCCCTAGCAGAAGCAACCATTAGTTTGATTGGCTCTTTTAAGTTATCCTAGAAGGTTCTAAGAAGAGAAATGACACAATCTGAATTTCATTTTATTAAGATAATTCTCACTATTGTGTTGTGTATAGAGACCATGGACAGGATAGAGTAGAAGCAATGATACCCTTAAGGAAGTTGATGCAGTAGTACAAGGGAGAGATGACAGTGTATAGTCTGGATAGCAGTAAAGGTAGCAAATGTGGTCAGCTTCCAAATTTACTAAAATGAAACAGCAGAAATAATTTTCTGTCAGATTGTGTATTGAGGTGTGAGAGTAAAACATGATGCAAGAGGGACCCCAAGCTCAATCTGAGCAATTGGAAAAATAGCACTGCCAATAATTAAGGAATAGGGGAATGAGGGGGAATGAGAAAGTTGAGGTGGAATAACCAGATTTTGTTTAGATGTTAAATTTGAGATGACTTTTAGATGCTTAAGCAGAGATTTCTGGAAACACATATATGTGAAATCTGACCTAAATCTGACCTTCAGTTAAAAGTCATTAGTGTAGGCCAGGCACAGTGGCTCACGCCTGTAATCCCAGCACTTTGGGAGGCCAAGACGGGTAAATCATGAGGTCAAGAGATCGAGACCATCCTAGCTAACATGGTGAAACCCCTCTACTAAAAATACAAAAAATTAGCCAGGCGTGGTGGCAGCCACCTGTAGTCCCAGCTACTTGGGAGGCTGAGGCAGGAGAATGGCGTGAACCCGGGAGGCAGAGCTTGCAATGAGCCGAGATTGCACCACTGCACTCCAGCCTGGGCGACTCAGCGAGACTCCCTCTCAAAAAAAAAAAAAAAAAAAGTCATTACTGTATAGTTGATATTTATATCATGACTGGCTGAAATTCCCAAGACATTAAATATAGACAAAGAAGAGCAGAGGCCCAAGGACTGAGATCTGTGCCCTTGCAATATTAGGATAGTCAGAAGATAAACAAGTAAGATAACAGCAAGAAGGAGCAGCCGGTAAGTCCAGAGACAAAACAGTAAGCGTAGGGCACCTGAAATGTAGTTTTAGAAAGAAAAGAGTTATCATCAGCATCAAATCTTGCTGATAAATCAAGAAGAAAGTAAGAAATGACTTCTGGATATAGCAAATAGTTTCATAGAAGTGTTTGTTGTGTTGAAAGCCTATTTAGAGCAGGTAAAAGAGAGTTAGGGAGGATCACAGGAATAAGGACAGTGAGCAAAGCCAAATCTTTTGAGAAATTATGCTCTAACAAGAATCAGAGGAATGGGGTAGTGATAGGAAAGAGAAATGGAGTCAAAAGCATTTTAAAGTTTCCGCTGAGAAATCTGCTGTGAATCCGACCGGTTTTCCTTTGTAGGTTACCTGATGCTTTTGTGCTCACAGCTCTTAAGATTCTTTCATTCGTCTTGACTTTAGATCACCTGACGACTATGTGCCTAGGCAATGATCATTTTGTGATGAATTTCCCAAGTGTTCTTTGAGTTTCTTGTATGTGGATGCTTATATCTCTAGCAAGGCCAGAAAAATTTTTCTCAATTGTTCCTTCAAATAAGAGGGAAATCTTTTAAATTTCTAAAAGTTTGGAAAAACTTATAGATTTCCCTCTTTCCAATTAATCTTAGGTTTGGTCATTTAACATAATCCCAAATTTCTTGGAGGCTTTGTTCATTTTTCTGTTCTTTTTTCTTTGTCTTTGATTGGGTTAATTTTAAAGACTTATCTTTGACCTCTGAAGTTCTTTCTTCTACTTGCTCTAGTCTATTGTTAAAACTTTGCAGTGCATTTTGTATTTCTCAAAGTGTATCTTTCATTTCTAAAAGTTATGAATTTTTTGCCTTATAATATCTGTTTCTCTGAAGGATTTGTCATCCACATCCTGTAAAGTATCTTTAATTTTTTTTTAAGGTGTTTTTCACCTTTCCCTGGTATCTCCTTGAGTAGGTTAATAATCAACCTTATGAATTCTTTATCTGTCACAGCCAACATTATACTAAATGGGGAAAAGCTGTAAGCATTCACCCTGAGAACAGGGACAAGACAAGGATGCCCACTTTCACTACTGGAAGTCCTAACCAGAGCAACCAGAAAAGAGAAAGAAACAAAGGTCATCTAAATCAGTAAAGAGGAAGTCAAAGTGTCACTGTTTGCTGATAATAGAATTGTATACCTAGAAAGCCTTAAAGACTTATCCAAAAACCTCCTAGATCTGATAAATGAATTCATAAAGTTTTGGGATACAAAATAAATGTATACAAATCATTAACACTGCTACACATCAACAATAACCAAGCTAAGAATCAAATCAAGAACTCAATCCCTTTTGCAACAGCTACGCAAAAAATAAGATACTTAAGAATATGCCTAACTGGGGAGGTGAAAGATCTCTACAAGGAAAACTACAAAACTGCTGAAAAAAATTATTGATGACATAAACAAATGGAAACACATTTCATGATTATTAATGAGTAGAATCAATATTGTGAAAATGATCATACTGCCAAAAGCAATCTACAGATTCAATGCAATTCCCATAAAAATACCATTATCATTCTCCACAGAAATAGAAAAAAGTCTTAAAATTTATACGGAACCAAAAAAGAGCCTGCATAGCCAAAGCAAGACTAAACAGAAAGAACAAATCTGGAGGCACATTAGCTGACTTCAAACTATGCTAGAAGGCTATAGTTACCAAAACAGAATGGTAATTACAGAAAAATAGGCATGTAGACCAATGGAACAGAATAAAGAACCCATAGATAAAGCCAAATGCTTACAGTCAACTGATCTTCAACAAAGCAAACAAAAATATAAAGTGGGAAAAGGACATCCTACTCAACAAATGGTGCTGGGATAATTGGCAAGCCACATGTAGAAAAATGAAACTGGATCCTCATCTTTCATCTTATACAAAATTCAACTCAAGGTGGGTCAAAGACTTAAATCTGAGACATGAAACCATAAGAATTTTAGATAACATAGGAGAAACTCTTGTAGACATTGGCTTAGGCAAAGAGTTCATGACCAAGAACCCAAAAGCAAATGGAAAAGAACGAATATAGATAGGACTGAATTAAACTAAAAAGCTTCTGCACAGCAAAAGGAATAATCAGCAGAGTAAACAGACAACCCACAGAGTGGGAGAAAATCTTCACAAACTATGAATCTGACAAAGGACTAATATCCAGAATCTACAAGGAACTCTAAACAAATCAGAAAAAAAAAAATCACATCAAAAAGTGGGCTAAGGACATTAATATAAAATTCTCAAAAGAAGATACACAAATGGCCAACAAACGTGAAAAAGTAGTTAACATCGCTAGTTATCAGAGAAATACAAATTAAAACCACTCATTACGAATGAGTGTGAATTAAAACCATTCACAAGTGGTTTTAATCTGTATTTCTCTGACAATTAGTGGTGTTAACCTTACTTCTGTAAGAATGGCCATAATTTAAAAATAAAAAATAACAGATGTTGGTGTGGATATGGTGAAAAGGGAATACATTTACACTGCTGATGGGAATGTAAACTGGTACAACCACTATAGAAAGCAGTATGGAGATTCCTTAAGGAACTAAAGGTAGAACTACCATTTGAACCAGCAATCCCACTACTGGGTATCTACCCAGAGTTATATAGCATGGAATATTATTCAGCCATAAAAAGGATGCAAATAATGACTTTTGCAGCAACCTGGATGGAGTTGAAGACCATTATTCTTTTTTTAAAATTATACTTTAAGTTCTAGGGTTCATGTGAAGACCATTATTCCAAGTGAAATAACTCAGGAATGGAAAACCAAGTATTTTATGTGTTCACTTATAAGTGGGAGCTAAGTTGTGAGGATTCAAAGGCATAAGAAAGATACAATGGACATTGAGGACTTGGGGGAAGGTGAGAGGGTGATAAGACATAAAACATTACACATTGGGTACAGTGTGCACTGCTCGGGTGATGGGTGCAACAAAATCTCAGGAATCACCACTAAAGAACTTATCCATGTAACTAAGAACCACCTATTCCCCAAAAACTATTGAAATAAAATAATTTTTTAAGAAGATCATTTTAAAAGATGATAAAGATAACATGTTTATGCAAAAGAAGGAAGGAAGAATAGTTAGAGCTGATTTCCTGGGTAGACAAAATAAATGGAGTGTATTTTATACATAAGTGGAGGCATTAGCCTGAGATGGGATCATGAACACTTCATTCAAAGTAATAAATCATCACCTGTGAGTAAGGATGGAGAGAAAATATGGAAGATTTGAAAAGGTACTATAACATCCAACAGAGGGAAAGAGTAAATTAACTAGGGAAATATAGTGAAATATAAACTCAAAGAACCCCCTTGAGTTTAGTTAAAGCTAAATAGTTAAAGTTATACCAGACAGCACTCACTATGTGTTTTTCACTAGTCCTGCCTAGTGACACACATAGAAACACAAGAAAGGCAAATATTTGGATGTAATCATGGTTGATATTTTACCTTGGTGGCTAGTTTATTTATTTTTCATTCATATATTTAACTCCTGAGTGCATATTTTCATAGTGCCTACAAAATAATATACATATTTTAAGGGTAAATTACACTGTATTTTTAATTAACTGGCTTTTGGTTTTTTAAGTAATGATTCACTTCAGGGATATTTTGTAGTACATTGTAGCTATATAATGCATTCTGAAGCATAGTGAGCTCTCACCCTTCATTCTTAAGGTTTGAAAGAACTTATATTACTATCATTTTTAATTTTCTCAGCTGAGTCTGCTCTGTTTCCAAGCTACAAATTAAACAGACCAACAACAACAATAACAAACTCAAGGAAGTGAATATTCTTTATTTTCTTAATTGTTTTAAAATAGCCTAAAGTATATTGTGAATACCTATGAAGCTAATATAATTTTATTATCAGGAGAATGAAATGCTTAATCCCAGTAGAACACATTTACCTTCAAATATTCTTAATGACTACCAGATTGCTCTGCTATTCCTTCCTTGCCTAGTGGTAATGGGTTAAAGGCAGTAGGAATTGGCTGTATTCTAATTAGGGAATATCTAGGGGAAATATTCTCAAATACATCAGGACACCAGACATTATTGAGTATTATTGCAACAACTCCTTCAAGAGCAATTGAGATCAAAGAATCTTCAGAGCTCCTTCCTCTTTCACCCATGAGATATTAAAAACCAAGGTACTCTACATTCTTAACTCTGAAGGCCATTTTATAGTTTTAGTTTGAATGTCAATTCATAAAAATATGACAACCAGTTTCTTTGTAACCCTTGGCTTTGCTTAGAAATGTCAAACTGACTTTAGGTGGTTAAACTTACATGGCATATCAATTATACTCAATACATGAATGAATAAGACATCATGATAAGAATTTGAACCCAAATAAAACCCACAAAATTATATTTACAAAAGGAAATACTTACTATATTCACAGTTTCTCAACAATTTTTTTGCCTTACTTTTCTAAAGTTAAAAATTATAGAAACAGACTTCCAGTTGCCAGTTCTACATCTAAGGAGATTGAAAGTTGCCACTTCCATCCTAACAACAATCCTAAAGCTGAAGAGAATGAAAAATCAACCATTCATCTTGTACCCTTAAGAGAAGTGAAGAGACATAAATTGCTGTCCCCAAGATTGTGGAGATGAATACAGGGAGTCAAGGCTTACCAGAACAGAGACTTGTGAGTGAAAACTTACACAAGAACCAACATCAGAATAGGAAAATCTGAACAGTAATTGATGACTCACTAGAGGCTCAGTGTGGGCAAGCTGAAGGTTAAAACTCCAGGGCATCCAGTTATAAAGCAGTCGGTCTCCCACGTTTTGTGAGTTTTATCTCCAGTGGTTTGAGCAGGTTCTTATAGTGAATATAAGAGAAAAATATCTGCATATATCTGGCAAAAGATGAAGAAAAAATAATTTCTAAATTCACCAGAATACTCTATTCTTCTTAACACGGGCTGCACTCAAGAGAAACTGTGAGCTGAGTCTAACCTACTGGGTTTTTTTCAGAACCTGACTGATCTAGGAGAAGTAGCCAACTCTAGCCCATCTCTAGCCACCCAGTTCCACCCAAGGAACAATGTCTGAAAGCACTTGTGAAGTTCACAGTCCAAAGGCCCAGACTCACTAAAAGACTGAAATCTTACCTTGGGACTCTAGAACACTTCCTTTCCCCAACACTTTACCATCGCACTCGCAAAAACCTTTTTACTGCAATTTCTTTCGTCCAGCACATCATGTTTGTCAATCAAGAAAAAATTACATGGCATGCTAAAAGCCAAAAAATGCACTTTGAAGGCATCGGAACTCTACTAAGGTTATGGGAATTATCAGATTGGGAATTTAAACAATGTCAATTAATATGCTGAAGGCTCTAATGGATAAAATAGATGGTATAAAAGAACAGATGTGTAATCTTAGCAGAGAGATTGAAATTCTAAGAACAAACCAAAAAGGAATGCAAGAGATCAAAAACATTGTAACAGAAACAATGTTTTTGATAGGGTTATTAGTAGACTGAACACTGCTAAGGAAAATACCTCTGAGCTTTAGGATATGCATAAAAAAATAAAAACTGAAGAGCAAAGAGAACAATGAAGAATAAAAACCACCAGAATGGAATAACAAAGGGCTGCAGGACAACTACAAAAGGTAGTCATATATGTAATGGGAATACCAGAAGTAGAAGAAAGAGAGAAAAAAAATACAATAATATTTGAGATAATAATAACTGAGAATTTTCCCAAATTACGATCAAACACCAAACCACAAATCCACGAATCTTCGAGTACACAAAGTAGGATAAAAAAAAGAAAACCAAAGCTATACTTAGGAATATCATTTTATAACTACAGAAAATCAAAGGAAAAAAATCCTGAAAAAAGCTAAAGAAACATTACCTGTAAAAGAACAAAGATAAGACTTATATCTGACTGTTCCTCCCAAGCCATGCAAGCAAGAAGAGAATGGAGTAAATTATTTAAAGCATTGAGACAAAGGAAAAAAAATTGAATTCTGTTCCCTGCAACATTATCCTTCAAAAGTAAGTGAGAAATAAAGATTTTCTCAGACAAACAAAAATTGAGGAAATTCATTCCTGTAGATCTGCCTTGCAAGATATGTCAAAAGACATTCTTCAGAGAAAAGGAAAATAGTATAGGTCAGAAATTTTGATCTTCATAAAGAAAAAAACATTGAAGAAATGGGTAAAATAACAAATTTTTACTTTGCCTTATTTTCAATCTTATCTAACACATAGCAGTTTTCTCAAAATAATAAAAGCAACAATGTATTTTTACTAAGCATTTTGTATATATGTACATGTACTAATTTGATTATATATGCTTCCATATATATCATATAAGCATATATAATCATATATATTACATATAACCTTATGTATTTCTATATATAAGTGAAGTAAATGCCATCAGTGATACAAGGGACAGGAGGGAGCAATTAGAATTATTTTATAATTATCAGGTACTCACATTACTTCTAAAGCAGCTTAGTTTATTTCAAAATGAAGTTAGATTTGTTGTAAATATATACTTCAAATTCTAAAGAAAAATTTTAAAAGTATAACTGACATGCTAAGAAAGTAGAAAAATGACATTTTATCAGATGCTCAACTAAAACAGTAAAAGGTAGAAAAAGAGTTGAAGAAAAAATAAAAATGAGAAACTAGAGCAACAAATAGAAAACAGTAATAAATATGGTAGACATAAATTCAAATATATAAGTAATCATTTTGCACACAAATCATCAAAGTATGCCAACTAAAAGATAGCGATTCTGAGTGTGGATCAAAAAATAAGATGCAATATACTGGTGTACAAGAAACTCACTTTAAATACAAAGACAAATGTAAATTAAAGTAAATGGATGAAAAATATATATATACCATGGAAACACTAATCAAAAGAAAGCAAGACTATATTAATTGCTGACACAGGAGTCTTCCAAATAAGTAGAGTAATTAAGGATAAAGATAGACAATGCATAATGAAAAAGGGCTCACTTCTCCAAAAAGATATAATAATCTCAAATGTGTACCTGCCTATTAAGAAAGTATTAAACTATGTAGGGCAAAACCTCATAAACCTTCAAGGAGAAATGGAAGCACGCACTATTATAGTTGGAGACTTCAGTACTCCTCTGTGAGATATGAACAGATCCGGCAGGCTAAAATCAGCAAGAACATAGTTGAACTAAACAACATCATTAATCAACTGTATATAATTGACATCTATAGACTAGCACCCAACAACATCAGAATGCACATTGTACTCAAGCTCACATGGAACGTTCACCATGATACACTATAGTCTGCACCATAAAACATTATGTTTTAGGCATTCACTTCTATTCAGCAAACAGTCACAAAGAAAGTGACCAAATTTCCACCCAATTCAACACTACACACGAAGAATCCACCATTCTAGAGTTTAGATGGCCTCAAGGGAGAACAAATCAGGTCAGGGATAGGATTGGTGGAAACGTTCTTAGGGCTGGCTAGAGTAAGTGTAAACAGGTCAAAAAATAAGTTAAGAAGTTGAAAACCAGAAGTTCAAGGAAGGAATCAGGAGACAAGCAAAGTTAAGAATGCCTAGAGGGCAATTTATTACAGGAAGAAATTTGGTTTCATGGAGCACAGGAGATAAGGTCCATATAGTTAAGCACAAATAGTTCATCTATTCTCCTATGCATTTGTGGAGACAAAGAAGTGATCCTGACCCTAGAAAACAAATCACTTGCCTTCATTTATACATATGATAATTTAGAAGGAAAACTATAATACTAAGTCTTTCCTCATAGTTTGCTCAAAGATTGTAGTTTACTCATTCAAAAATACATGTTGAAATATTTATCATTTACAAGACATGTGGTATCTAGAGACAAGAAAAAGACATGATGTTGTTCATGAAGGAGGTCACCATCTAGGGAGAGATTAGGCTCTCTATGCTAGTACAAAAAGCAAAGCAAAGGTTGATTTTTGGAAATTTTAGAGGGGTAGATATGGGCATTACATAAGTTGATCTCTTAATCAATTGGAGATATTTAACAATAAAATAAGCAGTGTGAAGAGGTTTCTATCTTTGGAAATGTATAAAGGCTACAGTATGCTTTGGAAGGAGCACTTGAAGGTGGAGATGATGACGAATAAACTAAAGAATCACCCATTTCTCTTCCAACATAGACTGCGTGATTCTTTAATTTCCCTCTCCGTTTTGTTTTACCAGTGTCTAAGAATCTCAAGAAACACTGATTAATCGCTTACAGCAAATCTAAAATTACCTCTCAGAAGAATTATTTAATAAGCAATATCTAGACATAAGTGACTCTCATTTATAAACCAAATTTCTTTGCTTAAAAAACACTCAAACCTTAGAGAATAAGAATGTAAAGCTGAAAACACAAAACAGAAACATGCCTAAATTATAAAGCATCTTGTTTGGCATATTTTAAATTCCATTCTTTGATGGATAGATAGATAATAGATAGATAGATACATAGATACATAGATAGATTAGATGATAGATAGATAGATAGACATCTTCTTTATATAGATTTTACATTCATCCCATCAGGCTCTATAATATGGTAGACTTACTTAACAGGACTTTTTTTCTGTATTTTGCTTTGCCTACTCTATTGTATTTAATCCTTGTTTTAAAATCATGCAGATGAGATAAACATTTATCTTTTTTTCCCTAAATGTGAAACTACTCAGAATTATGCTTAGTTTATCAATATATGTAATGCCTTATAATTGTTCCTCTTAACTTTTGATAAAGGAAAGCTGCTCAGGCAGGTGATAAACATTTTGCTGGAAAATGTCCTTGTCTAATAGCATATATAAAGAAAGTACATCTTTCACAAAAGAAAATACAAAAAACTAGAATATGTGGTTAAATAAACTCATCTTGGGAGTTCTTTACTGTTCAGTTAAGAACATTAGGTTAAATTCCTTAGTTCTAGTCATTACAGTTTAATCTGTCCTGATTTAATCTTATTTAAGCTAAAGAGCATCACTAAATGCCACAGTTCCTTACTTATGCCAGACATTAATATTATGAAAAAAATTAGAAGAGATTGTTTTTTCTGTATTGAATTTTTTTAATCTTTATGAGCTAAAATTTATTCTGAGAATGAAAGATGATTATGCTTGGATAGTCTGAGTCCAGGCAGTCAACTCCACTTCTCGCCACTTGCTGTTCATCATCTAATATTGTTGCATAGAGCAAAGTCTTTGTACTGGGCAGACTCTAAGATATGCCTCATTGATTCCTGCACCCTGGTATTTACACCCTTGTGTAACTTCCTCCCACTGACTATGGACTGTACCTAGTGACTTGCTTTTAACAGATAGAATATGTCAAAATCATGGGATGTGACTACCGAAATCTTGCTTTCTCTGTTAGTCCCTCTGAGAGAAGCCAGTTGCCAAGTTGTGAGCTGCTCTATGGAGAGGCCCACGTGGCGAAGAACTAATGTCTTCTGCAACAGCCAACAAGGGCCTTAGGCCTGCCAACAGCCATATGACTGAGCTTGGAAGTGAATCTTCTGAGCCGGCCAACAGCCCGTGTAAGTAAGCCTGAAAATGGATCCTTCCTCTTTTAAGCCTTTAGATGAGAGCAGCTCCAACTGATAACTGGATTTGAGGCTCAAGAGAGATCCTAAACAGGAGGACAAGCTAAGCTATACCTAGACTCTTGATCCAGAAAAACTGTGTGATAACAAATGATTGTTGTTTTAAAATGTGAAATTTTGAGGTATTTTATTACCTAGCAACAGTTAACTAATACAGTCCTGAAATCTACATCTATGTAAAGAGGTTCTCCATTTTATTCTGACCTAGAAGATCCACTGCTTTTGGCAGTCCTTTTGGCAATTGCTGGTATATGTACATTCTGAGTTTTCTGAAAAAATAAACATTTTTTTTCCCCTAAACTTCCTAATCTCTCTATAAGTAGCTTCCACAGTGTTCTGGAAGTTATAGGAGGCAAGAGTGTACTATAAAATCCCCTTAACTCATTTTATTCTATGTACATTTTTTTCAGTGTTTTGCCACCAACTTCATGAAATCAACTTTGGCAATTTCTGCCATTGCTGTTCTATGCTCTGAGAATTCCTCCATCTATCTCTCTTCTCCATAATGACCCATAAATCTCATTCTTCATACTTCTTCACACTTAACCTCTTGTAAATATTTTTACCTACTTTCTAGTAAAATAGTACCAACCATATTCAAAGATTCCCTTAGGTACACCACATCATATGCTTAAGCCTTTATTTTTAGTTCTAGTTGCCAATCCTTCTTATATTACATAAATTTTATTCAAATTAGCCTTTTAAAAATTTGTAGAATAAATTTGTGAATGTAAAAAACATAGGAAGAGACATGGTCCTTTCTTCTGATCCCACTTTTTTTTTTCATTTCATGAGCATGGCCTAGCCTTATGATACTTTAGTAATTCATGGTTTACGTATTTTGGTCTGCGTTATTTTCCTAATATTAACTACCATAACATTTATTTTAGCTCTCACCTTTTAGTAATGCATCACTGCATTGCAATTTATATTGTTTGTCCCTCTAATCTTCTCTTGAAGCTCAATTTTCTGCATTTTAGACACATAGGTTTTATTAAATCCAGCCTACCTGCTGATAATGCCAAGTTTCTAAACCTGAAATACATGATCTCAGGTCTACACTTCCCAGAGTTTCAGAGTTTATATGCACAACAATCACCTTCTTGTCAGCTACAAATGTCACTATACCTTTTGATAACTATGCCACAGTGTCATGACTGGTCTATATTCTGGTCTGCTTTTGTGTACCTCCTCCTGTCTTATTGATTCATAATTCCTATAATTCCTATTCAGAAACTATGCTTCTATATAGTTACATGTGGCACTTTTTAAGTGAGTCACTTTGGGATTTTTTACATGCATGTCTGTGAATTTGTTATTTTAGTAAAAAGAAGCCTGAAAGAGATGGGGCGGGGGGGTGGTTGGGGGTGGAGAGAGAGAGAGAGAGAGAGAGAGAGAGAGAGAGAGAGAGCGTCTACGCCTATTTTGAAGAATGCCCCTTCTCTGCTCTGAAGAATAATGAGGACCAGTGAAGTTACAAGTAAAGAACAAAACTTTAGGAGGTGGAAGAAAATGTTTGTTCCAGAACATAGGAACAGGATAATTTTAAGACAGCCAAAAGAGCCTCACATGCATATACAGAGTTCTAGAAGCCCAGTCATTAGTTCCTGTTAACTAACCTGAATGGCTCACCACTATCATTTCAGCGTACTACTCTCCTGTATCCTTACCTCATTTCCCGTGTTATTAGAAATTCAGAAGGAACTTGAGAATTTCTTTTCTTCTTAATGACCTTTTGAATTCCATATTTCTGGAAGAAATACACAACTCAGTGATCCCAACCCTTACTCATGCATCCACTGAGAGTCTATATAAAATGCTGTAGTACATACCGGGAAGAAATACATGGGTATGAAAAACATTGTGTGCCATAGTTGACCTTAGAATCTATATAAAGGCAAATTATACACATCTCTATTTCCCATACTTCAGTAGCATAATTCTAATTTCTTGACAAAAATCACATAATTGTACTAATCAAGAAATTATCCAATTTAATACTCAGATTTCATATACGTAAAAATTGAAAAACAGAGGTTAAGTGACTCATCCAAGGAAGGCTGCAAAGTTAGAAACAAAAGAAATAGATTCTAGAAGCTATGTCATCTGGAAGGTAGTAGAGTGTATAGTTTAGGAAAGTAAACCTTCAATTTGACCAAACTGGGATTTAAAGCACAATTTTGATTATTAGTATTGCTTATCTTAAAATCATTTCCTCACCTGTAAAACAGGATGATATTAGTCTATAGCTCATAAAAATGTTGTGTGAATTAAATGAGATGATGCTTATAGAACACAACTGAGCTTGGTACCCTGCCAGCATTTAATAAATATTAATTGCCACCAGCTTCTAATATTAGTCTGACTTCCAGGTTAACGTTCTACCTAGGAAACAATAAAGTCTCTTGATAAGCTTAAAATTTCTAAGCTATTTTATAGATAACAGATGGGAAGAATACTGTCCCTCTTGCTGGCATTCACACTTTTAGTACTTAGCTAACTAAAATTTGAATGCCTTATTGCTTCAACCATTGCACCTCAGAGTGGATTTGACAGATAAAACAAGACAGGCCATTACAGTTGAATTTATTAGAAATTCACTTTTCACTGGGTGTCTTGAATTTTCATTTGTTAAATCTGGAACCCTTACCTCGAAGACTACTCAAATATAACAGTACCAATACATCTTCCAAATTTCTATCACTGCTATGTAAGCATAAGCAATTTCAGTCAAATATCAGTTAAAGACCACTTAGTTTTTCAATATTATCTCAGATATACTTACTCAATATTTCATTATTTGAATAAGTTTAGGCACAGCAAAGCTTAGACCTCAGTGAGTAAGCATATCCTTAAGCTACAAATCTCATTTACCAAGATCAATGGCTTTTTTTTTTCAAAAACCAATATTAGTGATTCAGAAGAGAATTTCAGCTCATGACGTCCTTTTTATTTCCCCCTAAGAGCTATAAAGGTGGATAAAAGTTGAAGATAGGAGGTTTAATGCTGCTTGTTGAAAGCATTTATTTTAGAAAACTTTTAATTAAGTTCTTTCTCTGCTTCTTTGAAATTGACCTAAATGATTTTTAAAGCTAAATAAGCCCCTTGCCAGATTGATGACCAGGAATGTCTCAATCAAAGACCTGGGAACCATCTCTTGAAATGTAATCATCAAGGAAGATAATGCCCCTACCTCCCAATTTCTGTAGGAGGGCAGGAGTCTAATTTTGGCCAATGCCTTGCTCAAAACTAACTCTTGCCATAAAGATATGGGAAATGTATTTTTTCTTTGGATAAAGCAAGTTAACAAACAAAGATGACCACCCCAATTACCAGGGGTGGTCATCCATTGAATGGTGACAAATGGTGCTGTCAAATCCTCTTGAGAACTAGATATTGTTTATCTTAATAACATGCATGTAATAGGTTATATCTGCTTTGCTATATAAAAAGGAAAGACGTCTTTTTATCTTTGCAATCTTTTAGTGGATTGCCTGTGCTGTGTATCACATTCTGATTTAATGTTTATTCAATAATAAAATTGTTTTCTTCCTTTTCTACCCTGTGGAGAGGTTTTCTGAAGTAAGAGGGGATTTTGTTTTAAATTATATTTCTCCAACACTTTAATTTCAGGCCACAATGAATCTGGACTGGTTCCTCTGGTTTGTAACAGTGATTTTTGGTTTAAAAGTCAGAGAGGATGGCATGCAAATTTGTTTCCAAAGTGAATAAATAAAAAAGAGGTTTTCACAAATTAATGCTAATTTTCTGTGTAGTCTGATCCATCCACAGCACAGCGATAATCTTCTGCTTCCTTGCTTTCTATCTCTGCTTTTGATAAAAAGTTTCCAAGTTTATAAAATATCTCTCTCTCAACAGGCAGTATGGACAAAGAAATGCTGTAAATGATTTTGAGATCCATGTGTAAATATCTATTGGTAACTGAAATTAGAAAACTTTTCTTGAACTACTCAAGAAATGAAGTGTTCAGCAGATCATGAACTAAAAAAAAAGTATTTGCAATGAAGAAAATTTTTTTTTAAGACACTAAATTTTCTGAACATTTCAGAAATAATTTTTTTCTTATTTACCAAAGTTATTTATTTTAATGGTTTCTTCTACTTCACATATAAAGCAGGTACAACTTTATTGAAAAAGCCTATATAAATAATAAATATTGATGATATTCTTGAAATCATGTTTCAATAATGGTATGTTTTACTTAGAATAAAGCAATTTCAACAACTTTCATTCAGAATCCTCCAGACAAAACTAATTTTTGTTCCAATCTTCTGCTAATGGCAAAACAGTAAGTTGTATGAAACTTTCTAGCTTGAACCAGTAGAATCTTTGAAAATTACTGGTATAGTCCCCAAAATTGTGATAATATTACACTTCAATTTGCCCATGTGTGTTTCTATTTTCTACTGTCCGTAGCAACACAAATCTTAAAATACTGCCTCTTTCATCATTTTCTCAGCCTATATCAATTGATATAAAAAGCTTTTCTTCATCTGTCTGCATTGTGGTCCTCCACATTAAATAGCACCCACCTAAAATGCAAAAGAGCAATCATTATAAATTGGCCTAATCATTAATTATGGCATGATTCATTCTCTAGGAGAACATCATAACAGCTCATAGATTTGGTATGAAAATACTAACCTTTGTTATTTTTCCAAAGGAAGGGTATCAGACTATGTGATATATATACATATACATATATATATGTATATTTCTTCTCCTTGAAATTAAAGTTGTATAGTTTTATTAAGCTTTTATTTTATAAAAGGCAAAATCAATAATGCTATTTAGCCAAGTGAAAGGCAATTTCAAACAATTTTATGTGAAATTGAATTTTTATAGCTTTTTTTCTCTCCCACAAATTCTAACAAAAAAAAATAGTATCTTCTCAAATGTAAGACAAATATAAAATGTCAAATCTTGGCAGGCTTTCAAATACATGATATAAAGTCTTGACTTTACACTTGTATAATTGTCTAACCAAAAATACGGCTTTATTCAAACTATAAGGCAGTGTTTAAGTCAATATATTATTGGCATGCCTTAAAGCTAAAAATATGTGGGTTTCTCTTTTTAAGCAATTTTACTATAATGACCTGAGAATCATAACCATTTTCAGTCTATTATACATCTGTTACTGACCACTGATGTGAAAATAATGATAGGATCATTGATTTAGCTATATTATTAATGGCTGTCTCCAAAGATATGAAAAGAGCTGACAAATGAAAAGTAATATCACTAAGCCAATTATTAGCTGTCCCCAAAGTAATTTCTGCTCAGAACAGGTTCTTACAAGTAGCTCAAATTGCTCACATTTTATAGTAAACATAATAATATTAACATCATGTCCACTGTCAAGTTTTTTAACTTGACATATTTTAATTTTTAAAATTCAAATAAAAATTGACATATTTTAATTTTTAATTTTTTTAAGAGACAAGGATCTTGTTATGTTGCCCAGGCTGGTCTCCAACTCCTGGCCTCAAGTGATCCTCTACATCAGACCTCTGAGGAGCTGGAATTCCATTTTCAATTGGGAAATCCAAACTATATATTCTTAAGACTACCCATACAATGAAATAAAATATTTTAAAGAGCATAATATAATATATTTTAAAGAGCATAATATATTAAACTGATGATGCAGACTATCGAACAGTAAAAGAGTAAAGATTTTAGAGTAAGAATAACCAGTGTAGCTCCTCCTCAAAGATAAATGCTTTTAAATGTTTCTGTTTCTACCCATTATATGACCTGAGCCTCCTCCTCCTCTGCTCTTATTTTTGAAAGATTCTACTAGTTTAAATTTCTCTTTTGGTTAACTTAGTAAAATTAAATAATATTCTCAAAACTTTCTTTTGCTATCTAGGCAACAATTTAATAATTTATAACTGTTCACTATGTAAGATAATAGTATTTTGATTCCTTCCTTCCATCTCTACTAGCCATTTGACCCCTAATTTCTTTCCATTTTTACCTTTATTTTTTTACATTGGTAAGGCTGATAACATTAATTTTTTATAAACAAATACATAATACGTGTTTTTACTAAAGATTGATTGCAAAGTTTAAAAGCAATAAAAATACTTTACATTAACATATCTGTACAAATATCAAGGGGTTTATTAATATTGCATAATATTTTCTAAGGGTCTAAGGTCAGGAAACCTGTGCTATTATATTTGAAGGGAAGTGTTCCTAAGTGCAAAGTCAAGCGGATTTTATTTTCTCCAGTTGTTCAGTGGATCATGCCATGTTTTATTTTACTTCTTAATGACTTGGGTAATGACTTAACTGTACATTTCCTCTCTTCCCTCACAAGTCGCCAATGGCCTTTTATTTTCTTCTTGCTGACAAGAACAAATGATTGTATTAAATTCTTGAAAGTGTCACATCCCTTAATATATCTATTGCCCCCAAATCCCCTTTTTTGATGTTTAGATTAACGATGAAATAACTATTCTCTTGCTAGTTATATATTGTACTCTCACTATAATCTGAGAATTTCCACTTATTTCTCTGCTGAATCAAGATAACTATTTCCTAGAATCCGTATTTCCCTTCTTGCTTTCTACCTTGTATTGCTGGAATTCATCCTCAGTTCCTGCCTTAGAAAATACGTGAGTTACATTTTCTGAAACCTTAAAGTTGCTTTGTTAAGTCTTTATATTTGATTAATATGTTTATGAATATATAATTTTAGGTTTAAAATTATTTTCCCATATTACTTTGAAGGGATTACTACCACTAAATTCTGGTATCCTACACTGTGAACTCCCTTCTTTGCAGATGATGTTTTTTTCAAAGTTTTTCAGAATTATGTTCTTTACGCTTAGAGTTTGGAAACTCTGTCATACTAAGTCTAGAATTTGATTTTTTAAAATCCCCTTTTAGATCTAAACTTGCATGCCTAGGCCAGGCACAGTGGCTTACACCTGCAATCTCAGTACTTTGGGAGGCTGAGGCAGGCAGACAACTTGACAGGAGGAGTTCAAGACCAGACTGACTAGGCAACATGGTGGAAACCCGTCTCTACAAAAAATACAAAAATTAGTCAGGCATGATGGCATGCACCTGTAGTCCCAGCTGCTCGAAGGCACAGGTGGGAGAATTGCCTGGGCCCTGAAGGTCAAGGCTGCAGTGAGCAGATTGTGCCACTGCACTCCAGCCTGGGTGACAGAATGGGATCCTGTCTCTAAACAAATAAAGTTGTGTGCCTTTCTTCAAATCCAGGAGGTATCCTGTCATTTATTTAATTAAGCCCTCCCTTTCATTTTCTTTATTCTCTCTTTTAGGATCTCTAATCGGTAGAAAGTTATACTTTCAGAATAGACCTCTTAAATTTCCATCTTTTTCTCATCATTTTCAACTCTTTGTGTTTTAGACTGATGTTCAGAAAAGTTTCTTAAACTTAAAATGTAAACTCATATAATATGTTTAAACATTAGCAATTATATTTTAATTTTCCCAGAAATCTTATATATTATTTGACTTTTTCTTTTTCTTAGCATATTATGCTTTTTATGAATGCAGTATCTTCTCAAATAACTGAGGGTAGGAATTAGGTTGTATTTCTTTTTAGCTTTTGTCAGTCTTATATGTCCTTTAAGGTAAGTTATTCTGTTTTTATTTTAACCTTGATCTTTCCTTGTATGCCTGAAGATCTTACATTGTTTTCATGTTATAAAGGAAATAAAAAAAAGATTATTCTAGGTATCTGATTTGTGTTTCGCTTGCTGTGGTATAAGTGGTTTTGTTTCCCTTGTACATCTCTTCCCTGAATGGAAAAGCTTGAGGGAATGTCCAAGTACACATGGGAGGGTTATCCTGCACAGGGAGGCTTACCTTAGGTGCAAGATCAGGAAGACAACTGACAAGTCAGCTGGCTCCTACCACCCCAGGCACCACCTGAGGAGCTATTTACTCTAAGATGGTAACACCCAAGCTAATATCCCTAGTTCTTCCAAAGAGGTTATTTAAATTTCTTTAATGAGAAGGACTCTTGTTCTTTTTCATCTGTTTGTGTTTGTTTTTGTTATGTTGCTTTTAATGCAAGGGCCAGGCTGCATAAAGGAAGGAGGAAAAGGGAGACTATATAAGGTAGCTAAAGCACACAGCTACCTTGCTCACAGAGTTTCAGTTAATCTTATTGTTATTAGTCCCACCTCTTACTCCTACCCTTTGAAATCAATTTACATCAAGCTTAGATCTTCTCTGGGGTTCCTGAGGAAGATGGGCTCCCATGCAACATCTTTACATGTACTCTCAGCTGTTTCATCAATTAAGTTGTCTTTATGCGATCGATGTCTTCGGAATTTTGTTGACATCATTCTCTAGTATTGAACTTCCTTCAAGCCAAAATGGTGCAAAAGATATTTTGTTGACACTATTATTGGAATATGTTAATAGACAGGAGGTCCAATCACAACATTAGCCCTAGAGACTTAAGAGTTCCTCAGATGCTGTTAAGTCATCTGATGAATGGTGAGGATGGTTAATTCATGTGAGGACAGTTGAGACATGCTGTTTTCAGCCGTCTCATATTTGTCCTATAAGAACTGCAGTGAATTCTAAAGTCTTGTCACTTTAGTAGAATCTCCAGTTCCAAGTATCTCTAATTTATTCTGAGGAAGTTATTTAACCTCACCGTGCTGAGTTCTGCTCCCTTATTGTGGAACCACATATTGCCGTGTTTTCAACACAGATCTGAAGGTTAGCCTTATTTGTACCTCTTCAGTTACAGAAAGAGTATAACAAGTCCAAATGAATTTTTATCAAAATAATATCATAAAATATCACTATTTAGAGAAAAATTACTCAATTCATCCAATAAACACCCACTTGACCCTATAATATAGTTATCGAAATATTATGTGGCCAGCACAAAAAAGTGAACTTTCCTGTCTTCTTCAATGCAGAAGATCAAGTTCATATAGGGACTAAGGAAAAGAGAGTCTCCTCACAGTGATGAGAAGTCTGCAAAAAATTATCTAAAAAGCATAATTTTTTTTTTGTTACAACACCAAAAATTTCAGAGAATTATGTGACAGCTGCATTTGGAATCAACTAGAGCTGGACTCCATATTGTCTTCATTCCAGGATCCAGCATGTGGGAGCATTCTATCTGAAGCACTGCTGGTCATCAGGACAGCGGGAAAAGGGAACATAGGACCATGTGTTAGCTCTCAAAGATTCTTCCCCAAAGTGACACCTGTCACTTCAATTCCTATTCCATAGGCCAAAACAAGTCAGATGGCCAAGACTAATATAAATGGGTGATGAAGTGTAATTGTTCCCCGGAGAATAGAGGCAAATATTTGTGAAAAACAATGTTGTTTATTACACTATATGCAATTAGAGTATTTCACAGTTGTATCCAAGCTTCACTGTGTACATTTTATTTTTTATATACAATATATATTTTGTCCTTAAATAGGCACCTGTTGTTATCACCTTTTCCAGTGTTAAGGAAACAATAAAAGGAACAAAATGAACAAACAGAATTCTTACTACTTAGAGTTGTCTGAAAACAGTTTGAGTTCATTTGGTCATAGTAAGTTCCCTGTTATTGAAAATATTTAAGTAGAAACAAAATGACTACTCTGTAGGGGTTCTCAAGAAAGAGGATTTATGCATTCTGTGAATAACCTTTAAAATTCCTTTTATTCCAGAGATTCCTTGTTCTACAAGTTGTTCAAGGTCACACACCTAGTAAGAGGCTGTAAAACATAAATTGTCGCTTCCAAAGAAGTGACCTCATTTACAAGAAGATAAAAACAGACTCCAGTTTAACTTAATAATCTAGTGTTCAGGTGACATTATTGTGAAATTCAAATGTTAAAAAAGTTTTATTATGTATCACTGTTCAATCAGGATACAGCAAGATTCTGTTCATTTGATGACTAAAATGCTATGGATTATTACTGCTATCATATCAAATTTTCCAAATACCCTAGAGATTGCTGTACTGACATAGTTATGAATAAAATATAGGCCATTTCATTCATTCCCCAGAAATAAACATTTTCTAGAGTTGCATAATAAATAAACAAATGTTCTAAGAGAGACTTAAAAACAAGTACGTCTTAAGTCACTATAATAAAAAAAAAAAGCCACGCTCCTTGAATTGAAAACCTATATTGAAGCCCTCCTTTCTAAAGACAATTTAGGATATTTTGTAAAGAAATAATTCATTACCTGATGACACTCCTTTCTTATCACTTGCTCCTAAGGGTTTTATAGCTTTAATAACTCTGTAGTGCTATGATTCTAACATGCTTATTTCACAAAGTGATTTGAAGTTTTACCATTTTTAAAGTAAAAATGTAATAATAAACATGGGGATTAAACCTAATTTTATTCTCTAGATGTAGCTTACATAAAAAAAGAAAAAAGAAGCCTGGTTTTAATATTAAAGTTATTGTACTTTTAAAACATTTCTCATTTTCATTTAATAATTCACAATTAACAAAGCTAAGTCAGTGCAAAATACAGAATTATACACATTTGCTTATTTTAGATGTATTGATTTATTCATTATTCATATTAGGAGCCAGGGAATAAAGACTTTAGAACTAAATAAAATAGCATTTCGAATACATTTGGGAACTACATAAAATAGCATATTCATCTTCTGGCACAAAGAAAGATGTGGCGATTTAGGTATCGCAGGCCTGCCCACTAATTAGAAGCTCATCCAGGGCAGCTCATCCAAGGCAGCTCAAAACATCAATTTGCACCACTGTGTAACCAAATGAAATGCTTTTCAAGCTGGTCACTAGCCCGTGCTCCAGTAAATAACCCTCTTCAAATCCAGATGATTGCAAACATTTAAAATGTATTTGGGGAGAGAAACACTTTTGGAATTTAAGTTGTTAGAAATCATGAAGGCCAGAAGACAGTGCAATGACATATTCACAGTACTCATAGAAAAAGACTGTCAACATGAAAATTAAACAACACAATTCTAAATAACTAATGGGTCACAGAATAAATTATTAGAGAAGTTAGAATGTACTTTAGAAAAAATAAAATACAACATATTAAACTTGTAGAATATTTTTTAAAAGCTGTACTAATAGAAAACTTATTTTTGTGAAAGTCTATATTAAGAAAGAAGAAAGATCTCAAAAAAAAAACCAACTTCCACTTTAAGAAACTGGAAACATGTTCGCTAAGTAAACACAATGAAAGCAAAGCAAAGAAAGAAATATAAAAGCAGAAATAAGTAAAATACAGAATATTAAAATAATAGAGGAAAACAATGAAACCGAAAAGTAGTTCTCTGAAACAATCAACAAAATGACATACCTTTAGCTACACGGGCCATAAAAAAAGGGGCAAGAGAGAGAGAGAAGGATTGGATTACAAAAATCAGAAATTAACGAGGGGTTATTACTGTAAAACTTACAGAAATAAAAATAATGAGAGAATACTATGAAAAAAATTGACAACAAATTAGATAAACAGATGAAACAGACAATATCCTAGAAAAGCCCAAATCACCCAAAAGGATGCAAGAACAAATGGAATTTCTGAACAGACCTGTCACACATAAGAGAAATGAATTAGTAACCAAAACTTCTGTAGTGTAAGGTTTAAAATTAAGGCTCAATACTATGTGCTTCCTTGATATTTGGTAAAATCTGGAGAGCCTTCAATGACATAACTACAACTTCCCTCCTCACTCTACTCCTGGAGATAAAGCCCCTGGCCCAACAACCTTCACTATCAAAAAGGCAGGCACAGTTCCTGCTTATTCCTGAGTGCTGAGTTTTGGTTCCCTTCTGGCCTGTGGAATTGTTCAAGCAAGCCAATCCCATCCTCTCTTGGAAGCCAGGGAGCATCTCACCCTATTGATACTACAGCTGCTGGTTGCTTACTCTATTCCTGAATGTAACCCCCATGTGGTCCTGCATGATGTGAGATGTCCTTTTCCCTCAGCATGTGGGTCTATCTGACTACTAAACTGCTGCAGATCTCATCTTCCCAGTGTTAGGTCTCATGAGTTCAGCTACCTCCAAGACACTAGAACAGGAGTCTAGTCCTATTCACCAACAAGGTGAACAGGAAAAGCTTAAAATATCTTCCCACAAAGAAAAGCCTGCAAAGTGATGTCTTCACTGGCAAATCCTTTAAAATGTTTGAAGGAGAAACAACACCAATTCTTCACAACTATTTCAAAAAATATTTGTAAATCATATATCTAATAAGGGACATATATCCAGATATAGAAAAACATTTAAAACGAAAAAATAAGAAAATAACCCAATTAAAAATTGAGTAACTGATTTAAATAGACATCTCTCCAAACAAGATATGCAAATGGAAAATAAGCACATAAAAATATGCCCAACATCATTAATCATTAGAAAAAAATGCAAATCAAACCGCCAAAATACCACTTTACAACTGGTAGGATGGCTACAATGCAGGGGAAAGGGATAATACAAGCGTTAGTAAGGTTGGGGGGAAATTAAAACCCACATACATTGCTGGTGGGAATGTAAAATGGAGCAGCTGTTATATAGTCCAGGTATTTTAAAAAAAAAATAAATTTCAAAAGTAAACAACCACTAGCAAAATTATTTGAAAATATTAAACACAAAGTATTAATTTCTAATATGTTTCTTCAAATTAATAACATGTTATTTCCCTTTTTTGCAATTAGATTTGTACACATTTAAAATATTTTTAAAATCTAGCGCTGATAACTATATGTGTAAATAAATACCACTCTTTAGAAGGCAATTTATTCCATTTTTCAAAATGTGAAATGCATGTATGACCTATAATCTAACAATTCTACTATATCTAGGATTTTATACTATAGGAATACTCATATATTTGCCAATGAAAAACAATTTCTTTTTTTTTTTTTTTTGTGAGACAGTTTCCCTTTGTCACTCAGGCTGGAGTGCAATGGCAGGATCTCCCCTTACTGCAACCTCTGCCTCCTGGGCACAACGATTCTCATGCCTCAGCCTCCTGAATATCTGGGATTACAGGCATGTGCCACCATGCCTGGGCTAATTTCTGTTGTTTTAGTAGAGAAGGGGTTTTGACACGTTGGCCAGGCTGGTCTCAAACTCCTGGCCTCAAGTTATCCGCCCCCCTCGGCCTCCCAAAGTGCTAGTATTACAGGCATGAGCCACTACACCAAGCCCAAAAACTATTCTTTATAGCATTGTTTGAAATAGTAAAAATATAGAAACAACTAAATTCCCATTAAAAAGGGACTGGTTACATGATATGAAATCTACATCAGAAGTAAAAATAGAGTGGCATAGACTTACGTTTACGACAGAAATACCTTTAAAATATATCATAAAATAATGTAGGTTGCATAACAATATATGATGTAATAATAGTTACAAAATATGTATATATGTATTAATATGCATATGCACACATTTATACACAAAGTATGTATGTATAAAAAGGCATAGAAAAAAATATTGATAGGTGTTTCAAATTGTTAGCAGTCATTCCTTGTAGTATGTAGAGTGAGAACCAGTCAAGGTTGAGGTTTGTTCATTGATCTTACTTTCAACCATGTTAAATCTTTTGATTGGGTTAATCTTTTTAAGGATCAGCAAAATACAGGGTAATTCACAAATTTAACACACAGGAAAAATGAGTTCTACCATCTCCTAACCCTGAGGTTCCTTCCCACTCAGGTAGGACAAGGGAAGTAATGAGTATATACCAAATATCTTACGCATTTACACCCATGGCCCAGTAAGTAATATTTTGGAGATTTGGGGAACCTAAGAAGTACTGCAGCATAATGGATCAGCATTCTCAATTTAAAGGATTTCCAACCCCAAAACCAGTCCTATGACTATACTTAAAACAAATAATAAAATAAAATAACAGCATTTATTGTGATCTGATGATATAAATTTAATCAAAACAATAGAAACAAATGTTTTAGAATGAACTCCATTTGCAACAAAGGACACCTTAAACAAACAAGCAAACAAAAACTGCATTGCCTCCTCAACAATTTCTCACTTCATTGATCATTTCTATAACAGTTGGGGACATTTTATACCAGAGCAATAATATCTCCTTTTAGCATAATGTAATCTAGTTGTTTTCTTCACTGCTTTAAAATAATCTCTTCCTCATCATCTAATGCAAGCTTCATATGTTAATTGAAACCAATGATACAGCTCATTATTTGCATATTTATTTGCTTACAGAGCCACACAGGCACTATTTTGCAAGTATCCGAAGTGACATTTGGGCTATGGCGTCACCTTCTGCACTTTGTGGCCCTGGCCATGGTATGCCATGGTGAAAGCTCACAAACACTACACTCTGGGGATGCTTTGTTACTTTTCTCAAACTCATCCCCAGACTTCTCACCCTTACTCTCTCTTTACTGTATTTTATTTTGATGTGGTTGTGTTAACACTTAGGCATTAACAGCAGGTAGAACTTCAATTACCTTGATGAAAACATCAGCTCAAAATTTTAAGTCTGCAGTTTGCAGCCCTTCCTTAATTTAAGCAATTTAAGCATAACATATACAGTTCTTTTTAAGTTTTTAATGTTTTCCACATTATCTCCTTACTATTACAAGACTTCCTACTAAACAATAAAATTATATATACAGGGTGTATTTATTTTGTTTTAATATTTTATCTTACTTGAAATATGCATGATTATATCTACAAAATGTATGTAATTATACATTTTAATATTCTATAAACAACATTTAATTAATCATTATAATATGCAACTATATATCCATACATGTAATTACTATATATACATATACATTTTTTGTTTGGTAAAATGTCTTGTAAATAATGAATTGATCTAAAAAAACTTAAAATTTCACTGAAATTGCTTTAATAAGAAAAAACTGGACTGTTAAAATTTGTGAATTTTTAAATTTATATTTATATACATTTAAAGTCAAATAAAAAATTCAATAAAAATAAAAACATACACACTGTATATATATCATGATATACTTCAGTTATTAGCATTATGATAGCAAATTCTTATAATGAGAAACAAAAGGAAAATTTTCATTTTTACTCCGTAAGTTTATGTATATTATTTATAATTTGAGATTATTTTTTAGTGTAATGTGTCTGTTTCTTAGAAAATAAAAGCTCAGTAGATAATTTTGTGCCATTTGGAAACTAATTATTTATACAAAGAGCTAGTACTAATATTAGAAAACTTTTGATAGTACCAAGTTTGAAAACTGATTATTTATACAAAAATCTGGGACTAAAAACAGAAGAAAAGAGAATGTATTCATAGGGAAAGGAAGAGAGGGTAAGTTCCCAAATTTTTCAACATTAGAAAACTCATCATTAAGCACCAAAGGGACTGCTATTATTTCACTATTTATTGGCATTATGTTCAATCATTCTAATAAGCTTTTACTTGAAGTATATTTCTTAATTCTCACAACATATGCTGAAAGCTATTATTATCCCCAAATAGAGAAATGGAGGCTTGAAAAGTTAAATAATTGAAAGCTCATACTCTTAGTAATGGTTAGAATCATTATTTAAATAGCTGCTTCTCTGGCCCTAGGACCTGAGCTTTTAAACATATTCGAAACCAACATTTGACAATTTGGCATAGGAAAAAACACCAAAAATTTGGATTCAGAAAATCTAGCTACAAATATCAGATTTCCCACATAGAACATTGATGAGCAGCTCATTAACGCCTGACCTTAAGTTTCTTGATTCATAACATAGTATAATATGAAATTAGATATGAGAGAATCTACCCCTGAAAGTAACTCTGGCTGCTCCAACAGACTCCGAGGAGTCAGTAATTTAACATAATAAAAATTTCATTCTGACTCCCTAAATTCTAAATAGGTATCCATTAGTGGTGAGCAGTTCTCCTCCATGTGTGTATTAGGGACCCAGGGTCATTTTATCCCGTGATTTCATTATCCTCAATTCATAGCTCATAACATAGCTCTGAGATTTGTCTCCACGCTAGATAGACAAAACAGAGGTTCGTAAGGGTATATATCACCCAGGCAAGTGGCCACAGCTTACATAAAAGACACTGGAAAACATCATCCCATTTCATACTCGGGAAGAAGAGGAATCAGACTGGTTGATTAGCTAACAATCTCCCCCTGTAACTATGTATTTACATTTACAGACATTATATGTAAAATTATTATTTTAAGTATTTAGTCTTAGTCATTGTCATTCCAGACCTTCAGTTCTTGGAGAAGACTTAGCTTTAAAGAAACACATGGGGGGCTGCGTGTGGTGGCTCACGCCTATAGTCCCAGCACTTTGGGAGGCCAGGGCGGGTGCACCACCTGAGGTCCACAGTTTGAGACCAGCCTGGCCAACATGGTGAAACCTTATCTCTATTGAAAATACAAAAAGTTAGCCGGGCGTGGTAGTGGGCGTCTGTAATGCCAGATACTCAGGAGGCTGAGGCAAGAGAATCACTTGAATCCGGGAGGTGGAGGTTGCAGTGAGCTAAGACCATGCCATTGCACTCCAGCCTGGGCAACAAGAGCGAAACTCCTTCTCTAAATAAATAAATAAATAAATAAATAAATAAATAAATAAGTAGAAACACATGAGATACATGAGCATTAACCCATGTGTCTCCTTATTATATAGAAGAGGGTTGGTCTGTGTTGAACCAAACATCTGAATATGGAAAACCAAAAGATCCTCTGGATAGTGTATAACCTTCAGGAGACAGCTGCATGCACCCCTTCAAAGAAAAATAGATTTCTGTATCTAAACTAGTAGTGGGAAAATCACTTTAATCTAGAGAGAATCCCCTTGCAGGAGACTATGCTATCTAAAATGGTTTTTCTTTTTTCTTACAGAACATCTTTCCATTTCAAGCCATACAAGATCTAATTCAGGCTTGGAGAAAAAAAGAGAGGAAACATAAATTTTAATTTCGCATATAATTATCTTTGAACGAAAAAAGCAGGCTTCCATGCTTTACATATGTTTTATCTCTTTTTAGATCCTTTCTTTTACTTTTTCTATCTTATGATGCTTTAAATTCCTCTATTAGAGTACTTATTCATTGCATTTTAATAATTAATTATTGCTGACATATAGGTATATCATTTTTAGAAATTTATACCAATGTCTTTAGTTATCGTGCATATTTTTTATTTTCAGAGCAAAGGCCTTGTTCTGTTGCCCAGGCTGGAGTACAGTGTCATGATAACGGCTCACGCTTCCACCTCCCAGGCTCAAGTGATCCTCCCACCTTAGCCTCTGGAGTATCTGGGACTTCAAGCACATGCCACCATACCCAGCTAATTTTTAAAATTTTTTGTAGAAATGGGGCCTCAGTATGCTACCCAGGCTGGTCTCAAACTCCTGGGCTCAAGCGATCCTCCTGCTTTGGTCTCCCAGAGTGCTGGGATTACAAGTATGTGAGCCACCACTCCTGGCCTTGCAAATTCTTATGTTGTGATATTTTTGAAGAGTATAACTACTCTGCATTATAAGTAAGATGTCTCTTATTTCATCTTCTTTAGATATATAAATTACCTTGATTATTTGGACAAATCAAAGGATCAGAAGCAACAGAACATAATAGTTAAAAGCACAGACTATAGTCTCCCTCCCTGAGTTTGAATGCATGACCTTCGGAAAACTTTTTCACCTCCCTATGCCTCAGTGTCCCCATAGTAACTAGAAATAAAATTAATGTAGATTTCATAAGATTGCTGTAAGTTAATATTTGTAAGTTGCTTAGAATAGTTTCTGGTGACAGATAAGTGGTTGTCATATAAATAAACAAAATAAACTAGAAATTAGAGAGAAACTCCGATATCTAAAAATTAAGTTAGAGAGAAACTCCAATATCTAAAAATGTTCTAATGTAACTAATGACTAATATTCAAGAGATATTAGTAATTAGTTTATCATCACTTTGTAAGTTATGAATTTGGATATATTAATTATTATTTTTATACCTCATTTGCTTCATCTGTAAGAAAATTATAAAAACAGTGACCACTTCATTGGGTTATCACAATAAAGGAACTGAAGTTTAAAGGCTTTAACTAAGTGGTGCTTGGACAGATGAAAAGACATGGGAGAGGGGCACTGATTACATAATAAAGGAAGCATTACATGGTTATTTGAACGTATGAATTGCTCAGTAAATGGTGATGAGGCAGCTGAACAATAATGTAGGAAAACGAAATGGAATTCCACTATTACTTCTTATGTCAATATGAAACTATACATAAAAAGTGAAATACTTAAAATACTAGGAAAAAAATAGAAATGAATGAATTATATAATCTCACTAAATGCATAAAATTACAAAGAAAAAATGTATTTTACTCCAGTAACCTAATAAAACATATGTACCAGCTCAGAAGAATATCTTGTTGGCTTGTAAGCATGTCATACTATTCTCAGACTCTACAAATCACATCTTCTGCCTTTTCAGAATTTTTATTTAGCACGTTTTCAAATAAATTAACTTGTGAACAATGATAAGCAAGACCATAAGATGCATTAAATCAGGAGTTCAAGTCGTGTTATGTCAATTCTAGAAAACACATGAAATTAGACTAAAAGTTGTTGAGAATAATATTAATTTTTATTTGTGACACATTACCCAATGATACCAGGCTATACTTGTTTAAAATTACATAAAAATTTTACTATTCTTTAGAAAATGAAGAGAATTATTTACAATGAGTTGAATCAAACATTTATGCTATTTCCTACTTCTTGATCCATGTAATTTTATATATCTACTATTAGACCCAGACATAAAAATGGCCTTCTAGGTTTTCCTTGCCAAATAACAGGAAACTGCAAAGCTGCTACATAATCCCATTTGTTAGCATTTTTTATGATCCTCTCAGCCACTGCATTTCATTTCTTTTAGGATTTAATTTGCTGTGTCAATTTGGATGCTAATTTTATTTTCTAAATAGTTAATTCTGAGTTATTCCTCAATTAACTTGCTAAATTATTGAAATATGAATTATGCCATCAGGGAATGCTGCCTAAGTGAACCATCATGTTTTTGAAGCATTATACCATCTGTTCGTTCTGGCATAACAAATATAGCTTATTGAGTCATCAAACTTTCGGGTGCTATTAACTTAAAATATAAAATCAAGAATCTAGAGTTTTGTCTGTTATGACAAGAGATCCCATAATGAATGTTAAGAAATGGCAACATCATGCAAGGTTGCAGTGGTTTGGTTAAATATGCTAAGTTCTTCATAATCATCTACATACCTGGAGATACTTATATTACTTCCATCTTTCCATACCAATTAATTTTATTTCTATTATTTGAATTCGCTACACTACACTCATCCAAGATACTTTATTCTTATTATTTTCTCTGCCTGAAAAAAACTTACCTAGAATATTCTGTGTTCTTTTTATTCTTCAGGTCCTAGCTCATTTTTATATTAATATAAAACCTTTTCATTGTAGAGCAATTTTAGATTTACCAAAAACTTGCAAAGATAGTACAGAGTTCTCACATTCTCCATATCCACTTTTCCCTATCATTACATCTTCCATTACTGCAGTACATGTTATAGCTAATGAACCAATACTGACACATTATTATTAACTGAAATCCATACTTCATTCACATTTTGTTATTTTTTACCTAATTTTTTTTGTTGCTGTTTCAGAATCTCATCTCAGATACCACATTACATTTAGCCATTGTGTGTTCTTTGTCTTCTCTTGACTGTGAGGTTTTTCAGGCCTTTCCTGTTTTTGATTACATTGATAGCTATGAAGAATCATGGTCATGTATTTTATAAAACATTCTTCACGTGAGATTTGTCTGTTGATTTTTCTCATCATTACTTTAGGGTTATGGGTTTTTGAGAAGAAGATGACCGAGATAAATTACCAATTCCATCATATACAAATGGTTCATAATATTTACATGACATCACTGTTTACCTTGATCACCTGCTTGAGGTAGTTTGTCATGTTTCTCCACTGAATAGTTATTCTTTTTTATATCATTTCCTTACTGTACTCATTGGAAAGAGGTCACTACAAGCAGCCCACACTTAATACTAATGCAGCATAATGTCTACATAAGTTATTTGTAATTCTTCTGCACAAATTTGCCTCTTTGCTTCCATTTATTTATTTATTCAATTATTTATATCAGTATGGACTCATGGATATTCATTTTATACTTTTGTTTATAATCGAATAGTACAATTACATATTTTGTTGCTGAAACTGTTTCAGCTTTGGCCATTGATAGCTCTTTTAGTTGGCTCCTGTGTTCCTTTGACACACTCTCATTATTATGAGCTCATTTTTTATTTGAGCACTTTCTTCTTTCAAGGTCATCTTAAATAACTTTTCTTTCTCAGTCCTGGAATCAGCCACTTCTCTCCAGATTCCCTCCTTCCTCTTTTTAAGAATAATATTAAAAATCAAGATTTAGGCACTTGGTGTGGTCACTGATACTGGAATGTCATTGCCTCTGGGGTTCTCAACTGACAGAGCAAGGAAACATATGTATGACTACTAACCCATGTATGCATATGTATCAATAAACATGTCTATGTGAAACTATCTCTATTGAACTAAATATGAGTTTATTTGTGGGCCCCTAACTCTAAAAATTATATTATCACATGAATCATTCTAGCTTCTACTAAATGCTTACCTATAAACTAACATTCCAAGAATGAGAAACCTGGCTCTCACAGTTCACCATTTATGTATTTAATTGTTCAATCATAGCACATATAATTATACATATTAAATATGTGCTATAGTTGAATATATTTTATATATTATATGTATTATATATTACAATTATATATAATTGTATATATTATATATACATATATAATTATATGTATGTGTATATAATATGTAATTATATATGCATATATTATATGTTCAAATATATATTATATAATTGCAGTATATATGTGTTGTAATTGAATAATTATATATCTTACATATATGATTATAGCATATATATATATATATATATGCTACAACTGAACTATATATAATGGTTTCAGAATTGTGAATCTGTATCCCCATGGAACACAGTTTAATACTTACAGTGTTCATATGATTTCTTTAGCCTTTAATCTTACACATGATACTCATTTCCAGTTACTTAGATTGACACCATACCCCCAGCACCTTCTTCAGTGAGATTGTTTCATACATGTTGAACAGAAGGAGACTGTGTTGTCACTCCTGCATTCTGCACTGAAATATCCCAATCTCAGAAATTACTTTTTTTTTTTTTTTTTTGAGACAGAGTCTCAGTCTGTTACCCAGGCTGGAGTGCAATGGCACGATCTTGGCTCACTGCAACCTCTACCTCCTGGGTTCAAGTGACTCTCCTGCCTCAGCCTAACAAGTAGCTGGGATTACAGACGCCCAACACCACGCCAGGCTAATTTTTGTATTTTTATTAGAGACAGGATTTCACCAGATTGCTCAGGCTGGCCTTGAACTCCTGACCTCAGGTGATCCATCCACCTTGGTGTCCGAAAGTGCTGGGGTTATAGACGTGAGCCACCGTGCCTAACCAGAAATTACTTTTAAAATTTGCATCCATCAAGGCTCCTACATTGTGTTGTAAAGTTCTACAGTTTGAAAATATATAGGGTTGTTTATACACCATTATATTATCATACAGATTAGCTTTACCACTCTAGAAAAAAAATCTCCTATGCTTCACCTATTCAGTCCACTGCCCCTCTCCTAGAACTCCTAGAAAAATACTAATCTTTTTACTATTTCTATAGTTTTGCCATTTCCAAAATGTCATAGTTTAATAGTAAAGTATGTAGCTTCTTCAGTCTGGCTTCAATATGCATTTATAATTTATTCACGTCTTTTTGTGGCCTATTTCCTCTTTTTATTGTTGAATCATAATCAACAGTATGGATGTGAGAGGAGGGGCCAGCTGGGCTTCCTGGGTTGAGTAAGGGCTCAGAAAGCTGTGAAACTCACTCATTTCCTGCATCAGGACTTACTTCAGTCCTGGATGAATAATACTGAAGATATATGCTTAAAATATTCCTAACACCAGGATTTGTGCATGTGTTTTCTTCCCCAAGAAAGCTATAAACAGTGAAAAATTTGCTGTAAGTTTCCCTGTGTCCTCTCTCCCTCTCTCCCTTCCCCCGCCCCTGAAACTAAAGTAAAAGGAATGTTAACTGCCTGTTTTTCTGTGACCAGTGGACCTTATCTATACTCCCAATTCCAATTCCTTGTAAACATACTTTGTAAACTCCTGTGAGATCCTGTCTCCTTTGCCATGCTGCTGTAAGGTCCTAAAGTAGATAAAACCTAAGTTGCAATTCCGGTTTTCCTCAAAATCTAAGACATGTCACAAAATAATTTACTGCCTTTGTTGATCTCGCTCCTGTAACAAGCTTCCTGCCTCACGTATCTCCCGCCTTAAAGAGTTTAAAAGGCAATCACCCAAAACCAACCGTGGCTACCCATTCAAGACTGTTTCCACACTGTGGAAGCTTTGTACTTTCACTCTGCTCAATAAAGCCTGCAGCTTTTTCTCACTCTCAGTCCATGTCTCTTTCACTCACTGTGGTCAGCTTCCACACCATTTCTTTGGTGTGGCTTGGCAAGAACCTCAGGTGTTACATCTTGGCGAGCCAGACAGGAGACTCCAGAAAAGGTATCTAGATCATCATGCAGTGAGTACAATTGGACCTCTTTCACTTGCTATTCTGTCCTGTCCTTCCTTAGAATTAGGAGGCTAAATACTGGGCACCTGTCTGCGACTTAAAGGTGAATAGCACAGCGACCAGACTAAAGACACAGGTGTCAAGGCTGTCTTGGAAAGGGTTCTCTGACAACCCCCGACCCTTTGGGGTCAGGAGCATTGGTTTGTCCGAAACCAGTTCTAACTCTTTTGCTTTTCATGGTGGTCCCGAAGTACACCTGGGAGTGATCAGCAGACGTCTTGGTCTCCCAGATATCTTGGTTGAGACCATGGCCCCGCCAGAGGCTCCCACTGCATGGATTACTGGGCGTGAGACAGCCACATCTGACTCCCGCTTCCTGGGCCCTATTGTCTGCCAGTTAAACTTCTTTCCTCACCTTGAAAGCAAAATTATTCCCTCTAGGCAGGATCAAGATTTCCTGTTTAGAAGTCTTAAATTCTTGGGGTGGTGCCCAGAAGATCCCTGTTCATGGTGCCCTCCAGGGTTTAGACAGGTGTCACCATTTGATGACTATTTTGAAGGGCCAGTTCCCCACCATAGTGTATGGTCCCCCACATCAGGACAATTTAAAGACAGGTCTGTAATTTTCATGTGGATAGTAGAAGCCTTAGGGCATTTTTTCCATTGCTCCCCAAATAAACTTTCCCGTTCCTTGGGGCCTCTCGAGTACAATCTGTGGTGCATAGGCACGGGTCTTAGAGCCATTGAATTGCTGTTTCAACCATTCAATAATTGGTATTGGATGGAAGAAAATATAGTCAGTTGGGACACAGGATACTAGTACCACCTTAAGAGAGGGGCTTACTCCTTTGATGGCAAGTGGAGACAGAGGGCTAAAGTACAGCAGCTGTTCTCTTGGTCCTGGCCTAGAGGACATCCACCACCACCTTTAAGCTAATTAAGCCTCCTGTCACTAATTCAGAGATTCCCATGGCCAGGCTCTCATAAATTGGGCCTTAGTATGCAAACATCAGTGGCACCCCAGACCCAGGACTTGCCACTCTGGAACAGGTAGGACACATTGGCAGAAGGACCACAATAAATCAAACAGTCCTTGTGCCCCATTTAGTGGTCAGTGGGTGCACGGCAGGGGCAAGGGAAGTTTCCATCCCACCGGTAAGCATGGTTAAATCCGGTAGATGGAGAGCTCAGGAAAAGTGGCCATGAGCTTTGAGCATAAATGGACCTGACCCTTAGGGGATGCCCTAAGGGAAGACGAGTCCGAGGACTAACTAGAGGTGTAGGCACCCCTGTGTTAAAATTCCATATGGGCACCACACCTTCAAAACCAGACACTTCCTTAAGATGTATCCTGAATAATTAGGACAAACTCGACCCTGAAACCTTAAAAAAGAAGCCACTGATTTTCTTCTGTACCACTGCCTGGCCACAGTATTCCTTACAAAATGGAGAAACTTGGCTCCCTGAGGGAAATATTAATTATAACATCCTTCTACAACTAGATTTTCTGTAAACAGGAAGGTAAATGGAGTGAAGTCCCTTACGTACAGGCTTTCTTTGCCCTTCGTGACAATACTGCCCTGTGCCAAGCCTGCAAGCTTTGCCCAAATGACAGAGGCCCACAATTACCTCCATACTCAGGGCCTCTTCCCTCAGCCTCACTCTCCTCCCCCACTGACTCTCTTCCATCTGGCCCCACCAAAGTGTTAAAGGCACACTGGAAAGAAAATGTAAACTCCACGAGCCAGACACCCAAACTATGTCCCTTATAAACAGTAGGAAGAAAATTTAGGCCCATTCACCTGCATGTCCCTTTCTAACTATCAGATTTAAAACAAATCAAGGCAGATTTGGGAAAATTCTCAGGTGATCCTGATAGCTATATAGATGTCCTGCAAAGATTAGGGCTGTCCTTTGATCTAACATGGAGAAATATCATGTTACTTCTTGATCAGACCTGAAGTCCTACTGAAAAGGAAGCAGCTTTAACAGCAGCCCAGCAATTTGGGGATCTGTGCTAACTTAGCCAGGTAAACGATTGAATGGCCCTGGAGGAGAGGGAAAAATTCCTCACAGGGCAACAGGCAGTCCCCACTGTAGACCTTCATTAGGATACTGACTCAGATCATGGAGATTAGAGCCACAGGCATTTGCTAACTTGCATTTTAGAAGGGTTAAGGAAGACTAGGAACAAGCCTATGAACTACTCAATGCTATCCACAATTATACAGGGAACAGAGGAAAACTACTCCACTTTTCTAGAAAGGCTAAGGGAGGCCCTAAGAAAGCATACCTCCCTAACTCCAGATTCCCTGGAAGGCCAACTTATTCTAAAGGATAAATTTATCACCCAAGCAGCAGCTGATATTAGGAGAAAACTCCAAAAGTCTGCTTTAGACCCAGAACAAAATTTGGAGGCATTACTAAACCTGGCAACCTTGGTGTTCTGTAACAGGGACCAAGAGGAGCAGGCCAAAAAGGAAAAGCGAGATAAGAGAAAGACTGCAGCCTTAGTCATGGCTCTCAGACAGGCAGACCTTGGTGGCTCACAGGGAACCAAAAGAGGAGCAGGCCAATTGCCTAGTAGGGCTTGTTATCATTGCGGTTTCCAAGGACACTTTAAGAAAGATTGTCCAACCAGAAACAAACTGCCCCCTTGCCCATGTCCAATATGCCAAGGCAATCACTGGAAGGCACACTGCCCCAGAGGATGAAGACCCTCTAGGACAGAAGCACCCAACCAGATGATTCAGCAACATGACTGAGGGTGCCTGGGGCAAGCACCCACTCATGCCATCAACCTCACAGAGCCCCAGGTAAGTTTGACCATTGAGGGCCACAAAGTGGACTTCCTCCTGGACACTGGTGCAGCCTTCTCAGTTTTAATCTCCTGCCCAGGATGACTGTCCTCAAAGTCCGTTGCTATCCAAGGAATCTTAGGACAGTCTGTAACCAGGTATTTCTCTCGCCTCCTCAGCTGCAATTAGGAGACTTTGCTCTTTTCACATGCCTTTCTTGTTATGCCCGAAACTCCCACCCTTATTAGGGAGGGACATATTAGCCAAAGCTGGGACTATTATCTACATGAATATGGGGAACAAATTACCCATTTGTTGTCCCTTCCTTGAAGAAGGAATCAATTCTGAAGTCTGGGCCTTGGAAGGACAATTTGGAAGGGCAAAGAATACCCATCCAGTTCAAATCAGGCTAAAAGACTCCACCACTTTTCCTTATCAATGGCAATATCCCTTAAGGCCTAAAGCTCTCAAAGGATTACAGGATATTGTCAGACATTTAAAAACTCAAGGATTAGTAAGAAAATGCAGCAGTCATTGCAACTCCCCAATCCTAGGAATACAAAAACCAAATGGCCAGTGGAGACTAGTGCAAGACCTCAGAATCATCAGTGAGGCAGTAATTCGTTTATATCCTGCTGTACCCAACCCTTATACACTGCTCTCTCAAATACCAGAGAAAGAATGGTTCACTGTTTTGGACCTCAAAGATGCCTTCTTCTGCATTCCCCTGCACTCTAACTCCCAGTTCATGTTGCTATTTTGTTAACCAGTTGGGAATCATTATTGAAAAGGTCAAAGAAATAAAAGAACAGATAGAAAGTAGGAAAAAGGAGCTTGAACACTCAGGACCCTTGAATATGTTTAACCAATGGATACCTTGGCTCCTCCCCTTTCTAGGACCTGTGACAGCCATCCTACTATTACTCGCCTTTGGGCCTTGCATTTTTAACCTCTTGTCAAATTTGTTCCCTCCAGGATCAAAGCCATCAAGCTACAAATGATCTTACAAATGGAACCTCAAATGAGCTCAGCTCACGGCTTCTACCGAGGACCCCTGGATCAACCCGCTGGTCCCTCAATTACCCTAGAAAATTCCCCTCTGGAGGACACCAAACTGCAGGGCCCCTTCTTCACCCCTAACCAGCAGGAAGTAGCCAGAACGACTGCCACACGGTTCCCAACAGCAGTTGGGGTGTCCTGTTTAGAGGCAGGACTGAGAGGAGGTGCCAGCTGGGCTTCCTGGGTCAAGTAGGGGCTCAGAAAGCTGTGAAACTCACTCATTTCCTGCATCAGGACTTACTTCAGTCCTGGATGAATAATATTGAAGATATACGCTTAAAATATTCCTAACACCAGGATTCGTGCATGTGTTTTCTTCCCCAAGAAAGCTATAAACAGTGAAAAATTTGCTGTAAGTTTCCCTGTATCTTCTCTCCCTCTCTCCCTTCCCCCGCCCCTGAAACTAAAATAAAGGAATGTTAACTGCTCATTTTTCTGTGACCAGTGGACCTTATCTACACTCCCAATTCAGATTCCTTGTAAACATACTTTGTAAAGTCCTGTAAGATCCTGTCTCCTTTGCCATGCTGCTGCAAGGTCCTAAAGTAGATAAAACCTAAGTTGCAATTCCGGTTTTCCTCAAAATCTAAGACATGTCACAAAATAATTTACTGCCTTTGTTTCCGGCTCCTGTAACAAGCTTCCCACCTCATGTATCTCCCGCTTTAAAGAGTTTAAAAGGCAATCACCCAAAACCAACAGTGGCTACCCGTTCAGGACCCCTCCCATGCTGTGGAAGCTTTGTACTTTCACTCTGCTTAATAAAGCTTACAGTTTTTTCTCGCTCTCGGTCCATGTCTCTATCACTCGCCGTGGTCAGCTAGCACACCAATTCTTTGGTGTGGCTAGGCAAGAACCTCAGGCATTACAGATATACCACAGTGTGTTATAAAAATTCACTTATTGAAATACATCTTGGTTGCTTTTAGTTTTTAATGATCATGGGGGGAAAAAAGCTGCTGTATACATCTATATGCATATTTTTGTGCAGAAAAACACTTTCATTTTTTTGGGGGGGGAGGTGGATGGAGACTCGCTCTGTCACCCAGGCTGGAGTGCAGTGATGCGATCTCGGCTCATTGCATCCTCCACCTCCGGGGTTCAAGTGATTCTCCTGCCTCAGCCTACTGAGTACCTGGGACTACAGGCACATGCCACTACACCTGGCTAATTTTTTGTATTTTTAGTAGAGACAGGATTTCACCATGTTAGCCAGGATGGTCTCGATCTCCTGACCTCGTTATCCGCCCGCCTCAACCTCCCAAAGTGCTGGGATTAGAGGCGTGAGCCACCCTGCCCAGCCAGAAAAACATTTTCAAATCAACTGGGTAAATACCTAAGAGCATGATTGCTGTATTCAATGTACAGTGGCACCTTTTTGTTGTTTTAATTTGTAATTATCTAAAGACAAATGATAAAAAAATTTGCATGCTTGTGTGCTCTCTTTGGTGAACCGTCTGTTCAGATATTTTGCTCTTTTTAATGAAGTTTTTGTTTACATAATGTTGAGATTTAATTTTTTTTTTTTTTTTTTTTTTTGAGACAGAGTCTTGCTCTGTCCTCCAGGCTGGAGTGCAGTGGCACGATCTCGGCTCACTGCAAGCTCCGCCTCCCGGGTTCACACCATTCTCCCGCCTCAGCCTCCAGAGCAGCTGGGACTATAGACACCCACTACCACGCCCGGCTAATTATTTTGTATTTTTAGTAGAGATGGGGTTTCACCGTGTTAGCCAGGATGGTCTCAATCTCCTGACCTCGTGATCCACCTGCCTCGGCCTCCCAAAGTGCTAGTATTGTAGACTTGAGCCAGATTTAAATGTTCTTTGTATTTTTGAACACAAGTTCTTTTTATGAGATATGTATTTTGCAAAAATATTTTTTTCTATCTGTCATTTGTGTTTTGATTCTCTTAACAGTGTCTTCTGCAGAGCAGATGTTTTAAATTTTAATACAAACTAAATTTTTATTTTAATGATGATGTAACCAGCGGCGAATCCATACGAGTCTGCAGCAAATATGAATCCTTACTTCTTTGGAGGAAAGAATTTGGCCAAGGGGCAGAAATAGGTTTAAGGCAGAGGGAGAGACTGAGGCAAATTTTAGAGCAGGAGCAAAAGGAAGCAAAGTACATGTAACCACCAAATGGGTTCATCTGGCCCACTGCCTAGACAGAGCCAATTTATCAAGACAGAGTAATTGCAATGGAGAAAGAGTAATTCACACAGAGCCGGCTGTGTGGGAGACAAGGGTTTTATCATTACTCAAATCAGTCTCCCCCAAAACTCAGGGACTGGAGTTTTTAAGGATAATTTAGCAGATACTGACTTGGGAAGTAGGGAGTGCTGATTGGTTGGGTTGAGAATGAAATCATAAGGCGTTGAAGTGGGTTAGTCTTGCTGACTTCTGTTCCTGGGTGGGATTGCAGAACTGGTTGAGCCAGATTATTGGTCTGGGTGGTGTCATCTGCTGCATCAGAATGCAGGGTCTTGCAAAATATCTTAAGTACTGATTTTAGGTTTTACAACAGTGATGTTAGTCGCAGGAGCAATTTGGAGAGGTTCAGACTTTTGCAGCTGGAGGCTGCATGGCCCCTAAACCATAACCTCTAATCTTCCAGCTAATTTGTTAGTCCTACAAAGCCAGGCTCATCCCCCAGCAAGAAGGGGTTTTATTTTTTTCAGGAAAGGGCTATTATCAATTTTGTTTCAGAGATTAATCCGTAAATTCCTTCCCGAGTGTAGCTTGGCCTATGCCCAGGAATGAACCAAGACAACTTAGAGGTTAGAAGCAAGATGGGTTGGTTAGGTCTGATCTCTTTCACTGTCATAATTTTGTCAGTTATGATTTTTGCAAAGGCTGTTTCATGCACTTTGAAGAAGGGCCAAGCTGGTAACTGGAGAGATACAAGTGCCCCATCCAGCCTTTGGCTTGGGATTTTTATAATTGGCTTGGTTCTGGGATTTGCGTTTCTCCTCCCTTGAGGCAGGCTATTGCTCACCTGACCCAAGCCCAGTGTCAGTCAGCACTTGGGAAGGTGACTGCATGCATATTGCATTTACTGAGGTTGTGCACGTGTTCTCTAGGGGTGATTTTCCTGTACCAGTCCAATGCCTCCAGAGGAAGATCATACATTTGCCATTTTACTGCTTAGTACGCATGCTTGAGCCTGCTCGCCCAACTGCTGAGATCTTATTCAGAAACTGCTGATCACCAACTCCAGGTATTTTCTCTCTCTTGGAATATTGTCTTCCTCTGGCCAGCTGTGACAAATTATCATTTCAAAGAGACAGTTTAACAACTGCCTGATCATCACCTAATGATCACATGACATTCCTTGGGGTGGGGTGCTGGGGTGCTCTCCTTCCTGCTTATGTCTGCAACCGCATACTCTAACAATGAAACTTTTAGTATTGCATCTTCTGTGTATTTCCCAAAATGCTGTCTACACCCCTATGAAAAGAGATGTTCACTGCACCCTTTTTTGTTATTACAAGCTGTTTTTATGTCTTCATTAACCTATACATTCATAACCCCTTCGCTAATACTAAAACACTTTTGATGTATGTCTAATTAACATGTTTAAGTACAGAGCATTTATAAAACTGCCATGACTAGCTTATCTCTGCTTTTTTTTCTTTTAATCTTTTGGTTAAAAGTTTTTGTTAAGTCCCTCATGTCTCTATCTATGGAATGAAGGTATTTCCATTTCTTGTGGCTTCAGACCTGTTACAGACCACTTTAAAAATAGGACAACAGGTATTAGGAGATACTTTCCTGACTACTCCCCTATTTGCCACACAGAATTATGTAACTAGCATTCCAAGAAATTCAAATAAATTGAAATATTTAGGGATATAATTAGGAGTGGGTTGGGACTGGAATTTGTTGTAAGGTTTTATATATCAAACTCTAAAAACACCAAATGAAATGGCTATTTATTAGTGCTGAGAGGTACTATTAAAAAGTACAGGGAAGTAGAACAAAATAGTCACAAAGCACCACCTCAAATAAAATAGTTCCTATGAAAATATTGTTAAGCAAAAGAAGGGCTAGAGATTTGTAAAAGATACATTTTATTATTTTTTAACACAAAGTATTACATGTATTTAAAGAACAAATACTATTTAAAGCTATTTTTAGAAATACTCAATATGAATACA